>NC_000004.12:87860774-88012290 GCF_000001405.40 Homo sapiens
TCTCCTGTGTCAGCCTCCCAAGTAGCTGGAATTACAGGTGCCCACCACCACTCTTGGTTAATTTTTGTATTTTTAGTAGAGATGGGGTTTCACCATGTTGGCCAAGCTGGTTTCGAACTCCTGACCTCACGTGATCTGCCCACCTCTGCCTCCCAAAGTGCTGGGATTACAGGCGTGAGCCACTGCACCTGACCTGGTTTTTTAATTACCAATACTTAGGTATCCAAATGAAATCTCTTTGAAATTGTCATCTTGGGAAGTTATACGCTACATTTCTGAACATCTTTTAGAAATGCCTTCAGAATCCACAGCAAGTGTATTTCACTGTCACATCTTTGTTCTCTTACGTGGTCTTGATTTTAGAATTTCCAGTGCCATTAGTACTAATAGTTAACACTATTTCATGAGTCTCATAAACTGATGCCTACAGAGTAGTCCCAAGAATATTTACAGAAAAACATAATACAAGCTTAACAGATTAACATGACCACTTCATAGGCAAAAATAATAAAAAGATGTTGTGATAGTTAATTATATGTGTTGACTTAACAGGGCTAAGGGATGCCCAGATAGCCTGTAAACATTATTTTAAGTATGTCTTTGAGGGTGTTTCTGAAAGAGATCAGCGTTGAATCCATCAGTAGACTTAGTACAGAATATCACCCTCATCAATGCAGGTGGGCACCATCCAATGCATTGAGGGCCTCAAGAGAACAAAGAGGTGGCGGAAGCGTGAATTTTCTCTATCTGCTTGATCTGGGCCATCCATCTTCCCCTGCCTTGGGACGTGGGTGGTCCTGGTTTTTGGACCTTTGGACTCCAGAACTTACACCAGTAGCCCCCCAGGTTCCCAAGCCTTAAGTCTTGGACTGAATTACACCACCAGTTTTCCTGGTTCTCCAGTTGGCTTCAGTGTATAGTGGGGCTTCTTGACCTCCATCATCACATGAGCCAATTCCCATAACAAGTCTCTTCTTGTATATCTGTATATATTCTATTCGTTCCGTGTCTCTGGAGAACCCTGACTAATACAAGTATGCTGTTATTAGTAGAATAAAAAACAGTAGAGATCCACAGAGAGACCGGACTAGTTACACAATTCGTGAAGCCCAGTACCAATGAAAATGCAGCATCTCTTGTTCAAAAAGCAGGGGGAAGTGCTATTAAGTACTAAACTACAAAGCTCCTTCCTTGCTTCCACATATTTCATCTGCTCAAGCCCATGCTCCAGTGTCCCATCAGACTTCAGTTATAAACTGTAAGTTTAAAGATAATCAGTAAGAATCCCAGGATGGTAAGACAGGAGAAAGAAACCCAGTGTGGGTCCCTTCTGTGTGGGAGGTTCTGTCTGACAGCCAGCCATACAGAGATGACTTCTATTCAAAAAACACCAGCTTCCACTGATGTGTGGGAAAGTCACAGACTCTGACTTTACTCCTTCTTTTTGCAATAACACGTCTTATATTTTCAGTATTTGTTTCCGTTTAGGTAAAAGAGCAAATTCAGGAGGCGAGGAAGAGTGTATTCATTAGGGCAGCACAAGCAGTACCTCTGCAGTGGGGTCAGAGGGAGAGAAGTGCCTGGGGATAACCCCTTCCTGGCTGGCTCACTGAGGCAGGCCAGGAAGTACAGTAGCTGGTAGCTTATTTTACCTCAAGTTCAAACAAACCTTTCCCCTGCAGATGGGTTTCAGCAAACACCATAAAGTCCACTTTATACAAAACTTCATGGAAACACAGTGGGGCAAAACTAGCCTCATCCCCACCCACTCTCTGCCCCACCTCACTTCCTTTGCTCCCTGTGGCTAGCATGTCTAATTCAAGGGACAGTCACAAAAATACTGGCTATTAAACATCTTGAGGTTCATTGATATTCTCAGTGTGTTGTAGGTTTCTGCTAAAACACATTGGTGATTTAAAGGAGTCTACCAGCTCTGAAACCAAGTTTCTTAAATTCCATGAAGCAGTTCCACAGGAGTGCTGTCTTACTGTGTCCGGAATTGGTGGGTTCTTGGTCTCACTGACTTCAAGAATGAAGCCGCGGACCCTCGCGGTGAGTGTTACAGTTCGTAAAGTCCGCGTGTCCGGAGTTTGTTCCTTCTGATGTTCGGATGTATTCGGAGTTTCTTCCTTCTTGTGGGTTCGTGGTCTCGCTGGCGCAGGAGTGAAGCTGCACACCTTTGCAATGAGTGTTACACCTCATAAAGACAGTGCAGACCCAAAGACTGAGCAGCAGCAAGATTTATTGCAAAGAGCAAAAGAACAAAGCTTCCACCGTGTGGAAGGGGACCCGAAGCGGGTTGCCACTGCTGGCTGGGGCAGCCTGCTTTTATTCCCTTATCTGGTCCCACCCACATCCTGCTGATTAGTCCATTTTACAGAGAGCTGATTCATCTGTTTTGCAGAGAGCTGATTGGTCCATTTTGACAGGGTGCTGATTGTTGCATTTACAATCCCTGAGCTAGACACAAAAGTTCTTCAAGTCCCCACTTGATTAGCTAGACACAGAGCACTGATAGGTGCATTTACAAACCTTGAGCTAGACACAGGGTGCTGATTGGTGCATTTACAAACCTTGAGCTAGACACAGAGTGCTGATTGGTGTATTTACAATCCCTTAGCTAGACATAAAGGTTCTCCAAGTCCCCACTGGATTAGCTAGACACAGAGCACTGATTGGTGCATTAACAAACCTTGAGCTAGACACAGGGTGCTGATTGGTGTGTTTACAAACCTTGACCTAGACACAGTGCTGATTGGTGTATTTACAATCCCTTAGCTAGACATAAAGGTTCTCCAAGTCCCCACTAGACTCAGGAGCCCAGCTGGCTTCACCTAGTGGATTCCACACCGGACAGCAGGTGGAGCTGCCCGCCAGTCCCGCACCATGCGCCCACAATCCTCAGCCCTTGAGCTGTGGATGGGACCGGGCGCTGCAGAGCAGGGGGTAGCGCTCGTGGGGCCGCGCAGGAGCCCACGGCGGTGGGGGGCGGGAGGGAGGCTCAGGCATGGCGGGCTGCAGGTCCGGAGCCCTGCCCCGCCGGGAGGCAGCTGAGGCCCGGCAAGAATTCCAGCGCAGCGCCGGGGGGCCGGCACTGCTGGGGGACCCGGCGTACCCTCTGCAGCTGCTGGCCTGGGTGCTAAGCCCCTCACTCACCCGGCCGGCAGCACTGGCCGGCTGCTCCGAGTGTGGGGCCGCCGAGCCCACGCCCACCCAGAACTCGCGCTGGCCTGCAAGCACCAGGCGCAGCCCGGTTCCCACCCGCGCCTCTCCCTCCACACCTCCCGCAAGCTGAGGGAGCCGGCTCCGGCCTTGGCCAGCCCAGAGAGGGGCTCCCATGGTGGGGAAGCCCCGCAAGAAGTGGCCTGAAGGGCCCCTCAAGCGCAGCGAGAGTGGGCGCCTAGGCCAAGGAGGTGCCCAGAGCGAGCGAGGGCTGCCAGGAGGCTATCACCTCTCATTACCTTTTCCGTGGTAATTTTCTCCCTGGCAGGAAACCACTTAGTTCTTTTGTATCTCAGTAGGTCTGGGACTATTATAATCACATTGCGGGACTTGTCCTTAATTCAGCTAAAGGCAGGGTCCTTGTCATTTGGCCACAGAAGTAGGCTTGCAGACAATTTGAAGGGTGAGAATAATGGGATTTACTGGGCAAAAAGGAGAAAAAAAACAGAGTGAGAGTCCTCCTAGTATAAGCTTCCCACCTCACAGATTGAATCCCAAATTCCACCCAGGAAGAGGAGGGGCCAGGCTCCTCCCCACTGCAAATGGCACAGACTTCTGTGGTTCCACCCCAGTGCACACTCCTCCCAGTGGGCAGGCTGGTTGGAGATTCTTTGGGGACACTTTCCCACCTGGCTGTCTCAATTATGTGCTGAATAAAGCTTAACTATACATCGTAATATGAGAAAACAATGTGTAGAGACTATCTGTAAATTTTACCTCTTCCTCCCACCCCCCCAAAAAAATTGTGGTCAATTTTAAATGTAACTTTTGACATTGACACACTTTCCTACCTACCTCCAGTGTATATGCTAATAATGAGAGGTTTTGAGTGAAGTTACTGTATTTCTAATCATTAATTTCTAGTTACAGCACATCACAGATTTTCTTAAATCACTTTGAGATACTTTTGGAAGTTCTCGAAAGAGCTTCAAAATAAAACAAACTTTATTTTAATTGATATTAACTACTCAACAGTATTAGGAGAAAGTGGGGATACTATGAAATCAAGTTTTAAGATATGAAGTATTCTTTTTACTTCCATAAAATCCTTCCATCACTACTCCAGTCATGTTGATACCATCTGAATTCAGGTTGTACCAACTATATTTTGCTTTAGTCATTGCTGTTTCCCTCCCAGTAAATATCATTCTCTATTGATTAAACCTAAGTATATCAAATGAAATTGATATAATACAATGAAATTTCAGAATGACCCTGAGGAAGAAACCCTTAGACAAATGAGTTGAACTTTCCAAGAAGTTCCTCAGACAGGGGAGAAAAAAGACAGCAAACTGGTAAAGGAAGAAATTAGAACCGTAAGGACTAAATTTTCCCCAAAGTGAGCTTGAGGTAAAAGGTTTTCCAGTCACAATGAAAACAGAATTTGCCAACAAGGTCATGATCACGTCAGACAACTTACAATGGGGAAAAAGAAATTTACAGAAAGCCTTGTTTATTTTTAACCACAAAATTTGGACTATTTCCAAACTACCTCTGGGAAGTGCCTGTCTGCCCTTGACCGTGATGTTGTTCCTTTTTCTCTCTTCTCTCCCTCAAACCTTCCCAGCACTCAGATGCCAACTTAAGGGTAGCAGGGAAGCACTCAATTGCATTTGAAAGTTCTAATCATGTTTTGTTCCTTTAACTTACATAATTGATTCTGGTGATTTGGGCATTTATCATTGGTAAGGGATTGCTTATTAAATGAATGGGAATACTTGTGCTCCTAATTTAATGCAAAAGCTCTATGCCTTTCTGACCTATGCGGTCTGCATTATTTTTGAAAAGTATAACTTAGTTATTTGTATTGTAATCCATTTAACAAACAACCTCACTGTCGTTGGTACAGTGTAATAAACTTTCTCTGGCAGCCAAAAGACTTTATGCACAATACAATGAGTGATTTTTGAGGACATCCTTGACAGTGGGAAATGGACCATATTGTTGTTCATTTCAGGGAGAATCCTGTGGAAGAAAAATAAAAATCTGAGGACCCCAAACTCACTATGCCAAAAGGAAAAGTCAACCTTGGGAACTGAACCACACAGAACTGCCTCCCATTTTATCCCTAAATAGCAACAAAGATAGAAGGCCACCTACTTCCCCAGGAGGCCTCCCACACAATTTCCTCATGAAGGAATTTCCTGTGGGCCTCAAGATCTTTACCCTAAAACAGTTCTGTTGAATTTCACCCTGACAATGTGAAACTAACAGGTTATCTTCACAGGTAAGGGTCAAAGAACAGGACTGCAAGTGATCCCTCCCCTTGCCTGAGACAAATAGTATTTGATTTCTTCCTCTGTGTTTACTTTACCTCATGTAAAAATGCAGAGTCACTGAGCAATGCACAATTGACTATTTCTCTAACCCCTCCTTTCACATGTAACATGTGGATTCAGTGACTGATGATCAAAGCCTCAAAAGAATGCAACAGCTTGCCCCTTTTATCTATTCCCCCTGACACCCTCCCCCCCGGCTGCCTTTTTCCTTTCTCTTTTCCCTACTGCCCATTCTTTCCCCTTTAAATATTGAAGTCCCAAACCTCCTTGGAAAAAGCATGGATCACAGATGATCCTGTGATTTTGTGTTCCTTTTCTTGTCCTCAACCTTGGCAAAGTAAACCTCTAAAATGATTGAGACTCACCTCAGCCATTTTCTCTGATTTATATTCCTGCTATTTCAAGCCGGTGAATGGAACAAGGTAGACCTCATCTATTTCCCAAGAATGATATTAATTTGCAGCATGATATCTGAAAAATCATTTCTCTACTCTCCATCATTAGAAGATATAGCTCCTTTGGAAGGCCAATGAAATATGTAGGATGCCTGGTTCCTTTGTAGATATTCTGACACAAGTCTTTGGACTTTTCTAGACTGGTGGCATTCATGTAGGTGGGTGTTCAAAGATGCACAAAGGACAATGTTAATATTCTTTTGAGGCAGCTCTTAAGAACTGAAACACTCCCTATAGACCAGTCAGCTTAGATGTCTTCTAGAGCAATTAATAAACTCCATAACCCAAATAAAGTCCAGGGTTCATGAAGCCCAGTGTCTAGATGCTGCTTTCAAAGGAACACAATCATCTGTAGTGGCTTCTAAATAATATGGGCTTAGGGACTTATATTATTGGAGGGCTACTAAAGAGCCTATAATAGCTGCATTTTTTTGTTGTTGCATTTTACATAAGACTGAGAAAACACTGATTATTATTCTCAAAGAATTGACTTTTTTGATGCCACCACTGAAGTTTAGAAGTCAAAACTAGTCATGTGTAGTTCTAATCCTTACTTGCCTCCTTTGACCAGTGTCAATGGGAATTCTATAAACAATCCACAGCAATATATGTTTTGAAATTTCCTTTCCCCTTCCTCTTGCACTCAATTTCTCTCCCCATGACTCCCTGAGATCTATCTTGTCACCAACCATAAATGTTTTCCCTGAAGTCTACTGATTTACTATCCCCTTTCTGTCTCTCCTAATTTTTTTTCCATACATAGTAAATCTGGCCTTTTATTTGTGACTTTTCCCCAACTGTATCTTCTTCTCAGATTTTTGCCTTCCCAATTAACCTGGTCTACATCAATGTTTCCCAACCTTCTTTTCATTATTGCCTTTCCTAAGAAGACTTTGTAACTCCCTCCCACGGATATACCATATATTTGCTTATGTGCTATATGTATATCTGTGTTTTAGACATAAAAATAGTATAATTTTTTCACCCCTCAAGAACCAGTCCTCCTTCTTGGGAGCAGTATCACCCCAGCTGAGAATGCATGGTCTCCAACACAGGCAGGATAAGAAGAGAGGAGCAGGAACTGACAGGTGAGCAACGCCAGCAAACTGCAAGTATTTTTCATGAGAATTCTAGTTCTATTCCGTTTCTATATATATATTTGGGCATTTGGGTGTACCACTGTAGCCAGTGTTAGTCTTAAGCAAAATGGCATAATATAGCTCTCCTTCTTACCTTCTGTCTTCTCCTCTTGTTACCTCTGGATAATTAGTACCCCTCAACACTTTATTTAAAACTCATTCTTACTCCTGCACCCAGTAAACTCCTAAACATTCAGTATCTCACCCCCATTTGTGAAATAAAAACAGCTAATCTGGCATAATTCTTATATGTGAAGAACTAATCCTACAAAACTGATGTATTTCTCCTCTGGGAATTATTTGCATTTTAAAGAACATCTCCTTAAAAAAGAAAAAAGAAAAATACTCCCCTATGAGAATTAAGTCTTACTAGTAGTTCAGGCATCATATAAAGCAGGCAGGAAGATGACCCAGAATAAAGGCATTCCCTAATGCCCCAAAAATCATAAGAAGAGGTTATTCAAGCACCCCTACTCTGCCTCTTCATAATCCCTAGCCCACCACTCGTACCCAATATCTCTGCCCACTAACATTAACTATTCTTGGAGACTGGAAACTCAGAGGACAAAGAGCATCTTTAATATCTTTGTATTCACTATATAGCATCTAGTAAATACCTTGTATATTGTTCTTAACTATGTTCTTTAATTTAATGTTCTTATTTCATTTTGGGAGGCTCAGAAAACAATATCCTAAAATACACTGTTTTGGACTTCAAACTAACAGCACCTGGGAGTAGCAAATGCTGGGAGGGCTTTCTCTTATCTTCCCTTATCTGACTATGAGAAGTTCCTTTACAAGGAACACAATCATCAGCCAGGGGAGGTTAGCTCACAGGAAAAGAGACTAAAGGTCTAACACGTTGCTCAGAGAGACTTTTACCACAGGCTACAATCTATCCTTCAGAGGGCTGCTACCTGAGAGACTTCATCTACATAATAAGACAAACCTTTGGTTTTAGTGCATTTCTTCCCCTCACTCTCTCATAGCTTGTCACCCTCACCCTCCAGGAGCCCCAGCCCCTATTCCTCTCTGTATGATATAAAAACTTCAGTCATCTTATTCTTCTTTGAGTCATATTTTATGAGGCTCCCATGCATATGCACATAGTAAACCTGTATGCCTTTTCCCCTAATAATCTGTCTACTGTCAGTTTACTCCAGAGACTCAAAGTAGTGAACCTTCATAGAGAAGCAGGAAAATCTTAACTAATAATTTCTTTTGCAATTTTTTTTTTTTGAGATGGAGTCTTGCTCTTTTTGCCCAGGCTGGAGTGCAGTGACACGATCTTGGTTCACTGCAACCTCCACCTCCCAGGTTCAAGCTATTCTCCTGCTTCAGCCTCCCAAGTAGGTGGGATTACAGGTGTGCACCCCCATGCCTGGTTAAATTTTATATTTTTAGTAGAGACAGGGTTTCACCATGTTGGCCAGGCTGGTCTCGAACTCCTGACCTCAAGTGATCCACCCACCTCAGTCTCCCAAAGTGCTGGGATTACAAGCATGAGCCACTACTGCGCCCAGCCTGCCAATTATTTTTTTTTATAACTTGTTCTACTTAGAAGTATAACAAGATTACTCCCGAAAGGAAGAATATAATCATGTATTATAAGAAAAATGCATTTTATGAAAGCACTTTAAACAAATGATTTGTACAGAGAGTTAAAAATGAAATTATTTATTTAAAAAATGATAATAATAGAGCTGTTGGCAAAATAAACAGGGTCTAAATAATACCAGAAAGAGTAAAATCAATCATTATCCATTGAATACCTAAAAACTGTGGGAGACTAACAGAGTGAAGTTGCTCAAGAAGTTAACATCTCAGGGAACCAAAACAAAGGCATGTACACTTCTTCATCACAGTGAGTCAAGTGATATCTTGAGACAACATGAGAGGTAACACAGAGTAGTGTACGGCTAACTGGCCAGTGCCGGGCCAACTGTTCAAGGAAAGCAGATATTGCTGAGAGTGAAGATGACCAGGGAGAGCTCTCTAGGATGAGATCTGAGACTTGATACCACTTGCTCTTCACAGTCACCTGTGTGAAAAAGCACTAGCACAAGCCGGTCTAAGCCAGGATAAGGCCCTGCTGGGAAGAGTGAGTTAGGGGTTACTGAGTATGTTGAGTTTATCATGAATGCAACTCTTGACTGGACCTGGGACATTAAAGGGCAATGAAGCACTTGAAAATTCTGATGACTTCTGTTGTTTATACATTGGAGAAGAATTATATACTGCATAGTCTGTGGATGCCACTCTGGCATTCCCTTAGGATCCACAAAATTCCCTCCCTTTTTAAATATAGTAGTAGTGAATTTAGGATTTGGGCTTAGACACATGTGAAAATATGACACAAATCCTTCCTGATGGATACTTCAAAACACCCAGTTATAATTATGTAAACACTGAAAAAATGTCTCAAAGGAAGTAAGAGGTTTACATATTAAAATGAACACTAGCATTACCAATGGTACGCAAATATAATTTAAGTCTATTATAAGAAGGTTCAAGATTTATTCCAATTTTTCCTGCCAAATTTTGCTGTCACTTTGTGCTAGGGTATTTAAAGAAAAGAAACATCTTAAAGAAAGATTTATGTTTTATATTATCCAGGAAGATAATTTTCTATTAATAATTGTCCCCTGGTGACATCCGGAGGCTTGACAAGAGTAATAGGGAGAATGGGGCTAGTGAGTAAGAATTATTTGATTTTTCTATTTATCCTCCTTTGATCAAGTTTTTGGGGAACTTCTGAAGTTGATAACTACAGCAGCCCACCAAAGAGGAAATGATTTAGAAAAATAAGAGCTCCAGTGCTAGGGAGGATGTCTTGCAGTTAAATATAGTATACGTGTGTTTCTGAAATGATTCTGAAAGATTCTTATAAGTATTAATACCTAGACAAACTAGGTATGAGCTGGAAAGCCAATAGTGTTGGCTAGTCAATGAGTCAACTAAGAAATTAACTGGCCTTGGGGTAAATATAGAGCCTTTCCATTCTTTTTTTTTTTTTTCTTTTTTTTTGAGATGGAATCTTGCTCTGTCACCCAGGCTGGAGTGCAGTGGCACAATCTCGGCTCACTGCAACCTCCGCCTCCTGGGTTCAAGTGATTCTTCTGCCTCAGCCTCCCAAGTAGCTGGGACTACAGGCGCACGCCACCATGCCCAGCTCATTTTTGTATTTTTAGTAGAGACAGGGTTTCATCATATTGGCCAGGCTGGTCCCTAACTCCTGACCTCATGATCTGCCCATCTCGGCCTCCCAAAGTGCTGGGATTACAGGCGTGAGCCACCACGCCTGGCCAAGCCTTTCCATTCTTTTCTTTTTTAATTTATTTACTTCAGAGACTGGAGTAAAATTACAAATACAAAAGAAAGATAACTTCCTTGAAAGTTTAAGCAAACATTTTTCTGTGCATGCCTAATGTGAAAGAAGAGTTGAAGGGTCAACAGGTCTCATATTCACAAAACAGATTCCCTAGAAGGACATCAGAATAATGTTCTTCTAATTAAACAGGAAGACACGCTACAACGGTGCCCTTTAATTTCAAGTCTAGGAGGTTGAGTTGACCATAAACTCAATATGAACCAAAGGTGAGAAATGATATTACAAGCCTAGAAATTATCATAGGCCATTAAAGATATACTCTGATTAGATTGTACCTGCACCTCAATAGGCTGGAAAGTTAACAGTGAGGAAGAATGAAGGCAGTGAGGCTGCTTTCCTTGTAAAAGAGAAGACCAGAGGAACAGTGGCAGTGACTTAAAAAATCTGAAGAGCTGATATGCATTAGGACTGGACATTGTCTACTTATGTAGAGGGCAGCCCTTGTAAGTGGAAATTTTATATTACATGCCTCATTAAGTGTTGTGGACCACGGTTGAAAACTATTAACTTGGGTGAAGTTTCTGGAATTCACAGAAATGGAGATAATTTAATACAGGATTATGAGAAAGTTGAAGTCTTGTGAGAAGTTGACTGAGAAGAGTTATTCTGCCAATTTTTAGCTCTGCGGTGTTTTTAATCAGAAAGAAAGCACTGAATAACAGTATGATATGCTTACCACTGGTCTATTTCAAAAGGTACATTATTCTATCATTCCTTTGAAATCTAAAAATACCCTGCTTCTTGTATGAATAAAATATTTTATTTAGACATAATAGTGAAGGAACCTGTAGGCTTTACTTTTATTAAAAAAAAAAAAACACTGCTTTTGCCAGTTACAAAAATCTGGAAAATCATAAGCAATACTGTTGGTTGAACTAATCATAAGACTTGGTGCTTCTATTTTTCCCCTTCCCTGCATATTGCTTCAACTTCTTGCTCTTTCCTTTGCTAAATATAACTAGCTTCCTGCTATTTTCGCAGCTGACTGAAGAATTTCATTAGGAAGGTGGAAAGCTAACAACACCACTCTGATGAATAAAATGGTCAGCTGATATTTCTTCTTGCTCCAGTGGAAAAAATTACAGCTAGAGGTGCTGGGTGACAAAATTGAGTTCATTAAAATAACCAATTAGTGTAATAAGCAAAAGGCAAAGTGTTCTCACTGTTTTCCTGAGGCAGGCAGTTATTAAAATCTTCAGTTAAAAGTATAAGAAGGGATGATTTCTCTTCTTGATTTCAAGTCCATAGTCTTTTAAAATATTACAGATTAGTCTTCCCTGACCCTATGCAGTTCAATATGTCTCTCCTTTACTGATCAATCCTGCACATTTTTAGTGACTTCTCATTGCCTACAAATCCATATCCCCACACCAGGCTTCAAGGTCCAGATGTAGCTTTCTATCCTTTCCTGCCTTTCTCCCCTACATAAACCCTTCACCCCAACCAAAATAGTCTTTACACCTTTACCCAAGCACACCTTTACATCCTGTCATCTTTGTCTGGACTGCCAGTCTCACCTCTCCCACCTATCCCAATGTATCAAAGTCCAGCTCCCATCTTTCCAACTCTGCCACTGCCAGGTAGTCTCAAATCATTCCCTAGCTAGAACTAATTTGTCCCTGTATCCCTTACATAGTATCATATCTAGTGTTTTCAGCTCCTTTTCATTGACATGGATCATTGATCCAAGAAGCTAAAGTTCCTAATTGCCGCCCATTGTCAGTGGTTGATTGCCTTCAGCATTAAGAATGAGACTATCCCTCATGACTTAACAATTGCTAGTGATAAGATCTTGCATGTGAATTAAATGTCCTTACAGAAATATTGAACTCACATAAAATTTTTCCCCATCTTACCTAAAGCTATAGATTATTTTTATTATATTTTACTTTTTGTCTAAAAAGTAATATACTTTTTATAAAAATTATAGAATTATATACAATTCATAGTAATAGAATTTCATTTCCTACCTGTCCACAAAAGCTGAGAGTTCATAGACTGTGACCTCCCTATATGAGTACATAAACATTTACTTAATACTTTGTGAAAATTGTAGAGTAGGTCATCATACAAATATAAAATCATTTATTTAGTCCGTTTTCTGCTAAAGGAAATTGAGAAGTTACTTTTTCCTATTTTTAAAATTATAAATAGTATTATAATAAACATTTTGTTTATATATTCTTGGACATTTATAAAAATATGTCTATGGAGTAAATTTCTTAGAAGTGGAATTTCTTGCTCATATAGATTTCTGCATTTTTGATATTGAGAGATTGCCAAATAAATATTTTTAAGAAATTTCAACTCTTTCTCCAACCAATAACCTTTACATTGTTTTTCTGCTTACAATAATAGTTGAATTAAAAATATTAATGCATCACATATTAAAAAGAAATACAATACTTTGGTTCTTATATTCCATAACAATAATTCTAAACCCATGTAGAAGTGTCAGGAAACTTGTTGGTAAAAATCTTGAATGAATTCAAAATTGTATTTGAAGATTTGTGAAAATTTGAGAATTCCTTAGGGAGTAGTCAAATATGAATAGGGCCCTGATTCTTGTTAGGACAAGGAAGAACGGAGTGTAAGCCATTCTATTGCCAAAGGGAGATGAAAGTCAATGAGCTAAATATAATATGACCATTCTGCAACTCTAATGAATTAATAGATCTAGACAACTGTCATCAATGCCTCTTAAACTCACAAAAGAGAGACAGCCAGACATCATGTACCTCTTGATGAATCTATACAAAACCACCTACGAAATAGTCATGCACAAAATGTCTTATCTAAATTTGACCTTTTGACAGTATTACTAAGACGCAATCAGAAAAATCTGACAAATGACCCATTTCTTCAACAAACTGCAAAACCAGAAAGAAGAGAGAGAGAACCTATAGATTAAAAGAGATTTACAGAGGAATTATCTTAGCCCAGTTAACCCTTGAACAACATGGGGATTAAGTGTGGCAACTCCCAGTTCAGCCAAATACCCATGCATACCTTTTAACTGCCCCAAAATGTAACTACTAATAGCCTATTATTGACTGGAAACCTTGTCAATTGATTAACACATATTTTGTATGTTATATGTATTATATACTGTACTCTTACAATAAAGTAAGCTAGAGAAAATAAAATGTTATTAAGAAAATCATAAGGAAGGTAAAATATATTTCTTGTTCATTAACTTGAAGTGGATCATCATTAAAAAAGTGGATCATCATCTTCATGTTGAGTAGGTTGAGGAGAAGGAAAAGGAAGGGTTGGCCTTGCTGTCTCCAGAGTGGTAGAGGAAGAAGGAAATCCATGTGTAAGTGGACCCACACAGTTCAAGTTGTGTTGTTCAAGGATCAAACTGTCTTTGGATCTTGATTCAAACAAACAGTAAAAATAAAATATAAGATAATTAAGGAAATTTAACATTGATTGGTTAATTCAGGAAATTATTATTTTCAGGTGTGATAATGGCATTGTATTTATTTAAAAAGCCCTTACCTTTTAGAAATACATAATGAACTATTAATAAATGAAATGCTACAATGTTTAGGATATGCTTCAAAATAACCTAGGTGGGAGTTCAGGTAGGTCCAGAAATGAAAGCAACAAGATTGTACTAAAGCTGATCATTGTTGAAGCTGCTTGCAAGGTATATGGAAGTCCATTGTTCTATGCTCTATATTTTCTATATGTTTGAAATTTTCCATAATCAAACATTTAAAAACAGAAAAAGTTTGCATTAAGATATCATAGAATATTTCTTACTAACTGCTAAGATCCACTTAAAGAGGATGGTTTTAGAAAATTTGAATGCTCCTACACAATGGCCACAAGTTCACTAAATTACTGGAGGCTCACTTCCAAGCCCTCTGCCTGTGATTTTAGGCAAGAGTAAGAACAAGAGCCAGATGGTATGGAAAACATACTTACAAGTGGGTTCATAAGCCAAACAAAAGCTGTAATTTAGTGGAAGGAACTGACAGTTCTCTTTAGCTTTCAAAATGTTTTTGAACTCAGAAAGGGGCATGTATAGTGCTCCAACACAAACGTGTAATCTTTGGCCCAGACAAATGGATGCTCTTGTGGACAATGTAGAATTTGTCATTTCCTTCACATGGAATTTGCTTTGGTTACACCATCTTACCACATCCTTCCTTAGAGGGTCCTCTTTTCCTCTTCCACTTTGTGCATCTTCTACCCCCCTCCAGCTTGTACCAGAGGAAAGAAAACATATTATTTTTCTTGCCCAGCTATTCAAACATATCGCTACAAGAAACTGCACTTTAAATACACAATACATTGGGTTACTTCTGGCCAGTCTTATTTATTAATTAACTCTTTACTGCAGCCAAAGCCAAGACTGATTTGTTTATCAGAAGCCTTAAAGTTGTGTCTCTCTACAGGGTTAGCAGAGCATTCACTGCTTCTTCTTGTTTGTTTTTTAATTGAAAACACAACATGAGTGACCTTCAAATGCACCTTTAATTTCCATTTAATCATCATATTACTCCTTCAACTTCTCTATTTTATTAAATATGTATAAAGTTCATTTAGAAGTCTTAAGTTTAGAGCCTGGAATGTGTTATAAATATGTATTCCAAAGGACAAGACCATGGAATGTAAACAGAAATGGTAAATTCTGGTGTAACAACAGAATTTTTATTTAGTTTTTTACTTTTTCATGCATTGGGTGGGGCAAAAACATTATTTCAATCTTGATGCCAAACATTTTAAAAATGATAATTAATCTAGCTACCTCTTTACTCTGTAAACTACTGCCTGCCTGCCCTTCTAAATCCATTGTTGTATTCCACTGGTCTAAAATCTATTACCTGGAAATGTTATAACACATATTAACATATAAAAAGCACTCTAAAAATCTGCAGTAAACTGTTTAGTACAACATTTCCCAAACTTACCTATCCTTTTATTTGCAGTATTTATTAACATCCTAAGAGCACATTTTGGACTTGGGAACCTCCTCTCAATCATATTAGAAATACTTTGGGTCAAGGGAAAAACTAAGTAAAAAAGGATAGAATGGATGAGTAAACTGTATTTTTGAACACTTTCAAGGAGCTTTTATTTGAAAAAATTAATGCGTGGGCTATTCATTTCTGGGAAGATGGAGTCAGTGTACTTTTCCCCACTCCTCCCAGTACCAACACCTAGGAACCTCGCACATTATCTATAAAACAAACATAAGGAGACTGACAGAGAGAATCAGGAAGACAGGCTAGGGAAATTGGGATATGAGACACAACATGGTGATGAGTTCCCTCCGTTTTCTTTTTGTCTTACATATACCAGACTTGTAGTTGAAAAAGCCAGCAACCCAGAAATGCAAACAAGCACAGACTCATAACTCGTAACTCCCAACGAAAGTCTGCTCTCTCAACTAAGGATGAGGAAAGGGGATACCTAGCAAGACAGATTTTTTTTTTTTTTCTGAGACAAGGTCTTGCTCTGTCACCCAGATTGGAGTGCAGTGGTGTGATCATCGCTTACTGCAGCCTCAACCTTTCAGGCTCAAGTGACCCTCCCACCTCAGCCTCCTCAGTAGCTGGTACAAATAGGTGCTCACCATGATGCCCGGCTAATTTTTAATTTTTTTTTTTTTTTGTAGAGATGAGGTCTCACTATGTTGCCCAGGTTGGTCTCAAACTCCTAGGCTCAAGTGCTTCTCCCCAGTTGGCTTCCCAAAGTGCTGGGATTACAGGTGTAAGCCACCACACCCAGCCAAGACAGAAAACTTTTGCCAATAACTGCTTACTCCAATTAAATACCAGAGAGCAACTGTCACCCTCTTCCTATGAATACCAACAAAGGCTCCGTGGAGAGCCAAGACTTGCACCCTGGAGAGAGGTGTCACCAGATAACACACTCCCTTCACTAGGTGTGGTCAAAGAAGACTAAGTAGGGATCCAGGACTTTCATTCATCAGCATGTAAAGAGCCCAGCACACCCCTTCTCATGGTGTCAGTGGAGGTTGTGTAGGGTGCCTGGACTTGGACTACCCTCACCCAGCAGTAATGAGGCACTCCTCCCCTGCCCTACAGGGGTGGCTTCAGAGGAGGCCTGGTGGAGAGTTAAGACTTTCACCACTGCCCAGTGGTAATGATGCCACTGACCCGTGGTGTCAGTGGAGACCACATGGGGAGCCAGACTGTCCAGCACTAAGGAGGAGCCCCAACACCTATCAGAGTCTTCTTATGCTTACTTTATATATAATGTCCAATGGAGGCCACATGGGGAATCTGGGCTTCCACCTCCACCAGGCGGTAAGGAGCAGAGGTTTTCTCTCCTAAAACAAAACAAAACAAAAACAATTAAACTATCAAAAATGCCAATTAAAACAGAAAGTTTGAAAAAGTCTCAGTCTCATAAAATAATATGAAAATGTCCAGTTTTCAATAAAAATTCACTCATCATACCAAGAAACAAGCTTTCAAGCTGAAAGTAAAAACACAATCAATAAATGCCAACATAGAGATGATAGAGACGTTACAATTATCTAACAAAGATTTTAAAGCAGCCATGATAAAAATGCTTCAATGAGCAATTACCAACACACTTGAAACACATTTTAAGAAGATAGAAAGCTGCAACAAAGAAATAAAGATATAAAGGAGACCCAAATGAAATGTTAGAACTGAAAAATACAATAACCCTTGGTTATTCAAGATAAATAAGATTTTCAAGATAAAAACCTTGGTGAATGAGCCCAACAACAGGATAGAGGAGACAGAGAAAATAGTGAACTAGAAAATATAACAATATAAATTACTCATTCTGAATCACGGAAAGAAAATAGAAAAAAAGGGGGGTGCACCATGGGGAAGAGTGAGACTATTAAAAAGGATCTAAATGTGTGTCGCTGAAATCTCAGAAGGAGAGGAGAGACAAATAATGGCTTAAAAAAAAAAATTTGGCATTTGTTGAAAATATGTTGGCTTCCATTATGGTCATTCATTTTCTAAGAAGTCATACCATGTGGAGAATATATAAATTGTAACAGCCGAGAGCTGTGTTAATGTTCACAGGCAGTACTGAAGAACTGTTCCCTTTCTGAACGCCTAGAAGATCTCCAAGCTTGGCTACCATCTTCAGTAGTACTATTATTTTTTACTATGTATTCTTTAAAAACTAATGTCAATAGCCATACAAATTTGCCAACTAAAATCAAGCAACACAACAATATTGAGTATTCTGTTGAGTCTTTCACAAAAATAATAGTTTTTTTTTAAATGAGCACTTAATATGTGCCTTTTGTATGTAGGGTTCATCTCTTTCTAGAAATTCAGAATTGAATCCAGATCTCCTGGCATTAACATGAGTTGTCTGTAATTGTCACACTAAATTTTTCCACTGTGTGCTCTGAAGTACAGCCTGGTACTCTTGAAGTTGGCTGGTTTCATAACTGCCCAGTTTCTGGCACAACAAGAGGCCCCGAGTATGTGTGTATTCTCTGTCACAAGAACTCTTGAATATCTTTCTAGTCTTGAGGTTTGCTGGATGCCTCTGCTTCCATGCAGATGCTGTAAATGCCCTGAGGACAAGGCCTGTGTCTATCTTGTTCAGCTCTGTTTCTTTGATATACGGTAGGTCCTAAGTAAATGTTTGTAGGATGGGTGAAAAGATAGAAGGATGAATGAGAGAAAGGAAAGAAGGCTGGAAAGATGAATGGAAGGTAGGTGGGTGGAAGGAAGGAAAAAAAGAATTTTCATTTTGGTATTTCTCCCTTGCATTATTAGTAGTTATATTTTTACCATTCTTAAGTGGATGTATTTCTGAAGATCTGGGTATTTGGGTATCCCAAGATTTGGGAAGATTTATAAAACAAGATCACACAAATATAGACCAGTTGGAAGGGGTTGGGGAGAGATATCATGAATAATAGTAAAATCAGAATTATATAAAATCTAATTTTTTAATATTTCCAATCATCATAATTATCATCACAAATTAATAGCTTAAAATGTGCTTCTAAGAAGATCTCTCTTCCCATAACTAGTGTTAATAAACAGATTTTAAGGTATTTATTTAAAGCAAAAACAAAAACAAAAACAAAACCCACATTTGGCAAAAGACATAGAACTACAGAATCAAGAGGCTGATTAAACCCTATATGGGATAAACCCAAAGAAATTCATAAATATTGTATTGTGAGATATATCATATGTCATGTCTGTATGATATTTCATACACATATACAAATACACACATCACACACATATACATTTAAATAATCTTTCTATATTAATAAGTATATATACATAAATTATAAATCTCAAGATCCATAAAGCAGTTTTATAAATATATAAAATATTTTTATGTCTATGATGTGTTTATATATATGTATATATATGTTTGTGTGTAGACACACACATGTATATAGTTCTGGAAAAAGAATAAGGAATACTCCATGTCACACCTACACATACTTTAATAAACCAAATGATAAAGAGAAGAAAGTACAAAAAACATAAATATTTTCATTAGAGAAAAATCAAAATCAGCATTTCATAGAAGTTTCATTTCATTTAATACTTACGAACGTCTTATGAGATAATCATTATCACATTTATTTCACCAGTGAGGAAACTGAGATTTAGAAAAAGTAAGGGATTTACCTAAGGTCATGAAGTCAGCAGATATCGGAGATGAAATTAGATCTCAGGTCTTCTTCCCATCTCCAAGCATCTGCTATTTTTATCACACTAAACCATGTTATCCAGGCAAATAATACAATTTTAAATGTGGAAAAGTATTTGAAATTTTCCAATGGCTTCTGCACATGTTCATTCTTCAAAGTGATCCTGCACATTTGGAAGGGTAGACATTATTCATTCTACTTTACACTTAATGGAACTGAAACAGCAAAACATAAATGACTTGCCCAAGGTCAACTGATACATCAGGGCCAAAAGCCAAATCTCCAATTTCCTGAGCTGGAGTTATTTTTCACATCACATTCCTCCTAGTGAAGCTATAAAACAACAATGTCATTGCATCCCTAGGAGTTGTCAGAGGAAAATCTCACCAGCTCGGGAAGTGGCATTGGGCAGGAAAGGGGTGGGGGTGACATGGCTGTGACACAGAACTAACTGGAGTCCTGGAGGGGAGGGAAACCCTTCCTTCAGGTGAGGCAATAAGCCACATCCTTGACTATTTGTGTGAACATTTAGAAGAGTTCCCCTGGTACCTTCCACAAGAATTTGTCTTTGGCCTATTCTTGTCATTTTTGGTTACAGCAAAATATTTTTCTGAGAATTTTAATTAGATACCCTTTCCTTGACTTCTTGACCTGCCAGTGTTCTTCAGCCCTGCACACTTTTAGATGCTTCCCTATATCCTGGAAGATGCAGTCTTTTCAGGATATTGTTACTATTCAGAGTAGTAAAAGTCAAACAATGATAATAACAACAGAAGGATAAAATGAATAGAGGGCTTACTCTATACCTTGCATTACATCAAGTTCTTAACATGGATTACCTCATTGAATCATCAAAACACACTGTGAGGTAGGTATCATTATCATCCCCATTTTGCAAAATTAGGAAACTGAGGCATAGAGAAGCTAGGTAGTTTACATAAGCCAAACAACTTGCAAGTAGCAGAACCAACAATTGGCTCCAGAGACTCAAACCTTAACTCTGCTGTATGTGATATCATTGATTACCCAACAGTTGCATTTTTATTGACCCCTATTAGGTAAAACGACTACTAGTATTACTAACACTAATAATCATAGTTAACATTGATTGAACACGCATTGTGTATCAAGCACTGGGCTAAGGCCTTACACTTACAATTCCATTTAATCTTTGTCAACAATTCTATGAGGCAGATATTATCAATATTACAGTCAATTAGCACAGAAAGATTAGGTAACTTATTCAAGGTCACACAGTAAACAATTGGTTTGAATTCAGGAAGTCTAACTATAGTATTAGCATAATTTTTTAATTTAAATTTTAAAAGGAGAATCTGTGGCCTATTCATAGAATTAAGCTTACTCATCCAAATGTCATTTGAACATTTGTTTTAAGAGTGTAGTGATCTACAGTGAGAACACATGGACACATGGTGGGGAACAACACACACTGTTGGGAGGAGGGAGAGCTTCAGGAAGAATAGCTAGTGAGTGCTGGACTTAACACCTGGGTGATGGGATGATCTGTGCAGCAAACCACCATGGTACACGTTTACCAATGTAACAAACCTGTACATCCTGCACATGTACCCCAGAACTTAAAAGTTGAAGAAAAAATAAATAAAAATAGAGGGCCAGGAGGTGGCTTACACCTGTAATCCCCAGCACTTTGGGAGGCCAAGGCAGGAGGATTACTTGAGGCCGGGAGTTTGAGACCAGCCTGGGCAACAAAACAAGACTTGTCTCCACAAAAAAAACAGGAAGAAAGAAAGAAAGAAAGAAGGAAAGGAGAGAAAGAAAGGAAGAAAGAAAAAGAAAGAGAGAGGGGGAAGGAAGGAAGGAAGGAAGGGAAGGAAGGAAGGAAATTAAAAAAAATTTTTTTTCACCTGGTTAGATAGATGGAAAAAATAATAATAGAATTTTTTTTTTGAGACAGTGTCTCTCTCTGTCACCCAGGCTGAAGTACAGTGGTGCAGTCTTGGCTCACTGCAACCTCCACCTCCTGGGTTCAAGTGATTCTTGTGCCTGAGAAGCTGGGATCACAGATGTGCACCACCATGCCTGGCAAAAAGAAACAAACAAACAAAACAAACAGCATAGTGTTCTAACCAGCTAAGTGAACTAGTTCTTAACAAAATCCTGAAGACATATTTAATAGCAATCACTTACAAAACATTTCAACAGAAAAGTTTCAGTGTTCCATAGCTGGTAGAGCTCCAAGACCTCTGCAAAGTACCCACTGACAGCAAATATTTCAAATCTCCCCACGGACCCATCCTATCCCACATCATAATTTGCTTTTTACTTAAATGTAGTAGAGCATCATCTCTTCTACTCAAAAGTAAAAGAAAATAATCTGAACATTTCATAAGCTATTACAGCTAAGGTATTAAACTTGCCTTAAGGAGTAACAAACAAAAATAGGCTTTCAACTGTGTTTGAGTATTAAGATTCTTAGAGCCTGGACCTTAATATTCCTATACTTGTAAAGAAAGCAAGAGAAATACATAAATGTATCAGTAGTTTTCTTTTGCTCTATGAAGGTGGGAGACTTTCTCTTTGTGGAAATGATGAATTTGGCACAAAACTGAATGAGTCATTTGATTAAGCACAAGTGAACGCCAAGCCTTCTGCTGGAGAAAGAGGTTGGGGGATGAGGAGCAACCAGCTCCAAGTCTTCATGTAGAAAGTAGTGTTTGGTGGGAGCTCTGCAACTCAGCAATCATTAAGATGAGGTCAAGGATGGTAACTCAGGGGTGGGCATAGACTGGCATATCCCCTTGAGAGTGGGGAACCTGCAATCCAGGGATAGAGAGAGGCACACCCATCTGGAATGGTCCCTGGCCTGCCACCCTCAAGGAGCCTAGAAATAGTTGGCCTCTATGGAGGTGGGAGGCCGGCAGATGTTACAAATATCTTGAATTTGTATCTACTGATATTATGTGTGGAGTTTCATGGTTTTCTTTCCTTACTGCATTATAATTTCCCTCTGTAATTTGTGAGCCTTCTGAAACGTTTTTCTAAAAAGAACTTAGGGGCTCTTGTCCACATTTGAGGAAATCTGCAAGGGAGGAAGGAAAGACTGAAAAGTTGGTGATCTGATAGTAAGAGAATGAGTATGCATATGGGAAGTGGCCAAGGAAACCAACAACAGTCAGAGCAGAAATACCAAGAATAAAAGAATCTGATAAAATTACCAGATTCCCGTAGTCATGTTTGATGGGAGCCTGGACTACTTGAATATTAAACAGGAGGCTCCTGGAGGCATCTTGAGTAGATTTACTTATTTTTTTCCTACCTTAAAAGATTCCAAATTATTTTTATTATGAACAAATAGTCACTAAGGACTCCACTATCTACACATAGTTGTCTTGGGAAGAATAGGATATAAAGAAACTAGGAAGTGCTTGTGGCTCACAGTTAAAAAGCCTTGGAATTCTATCCAAGTTTTGTCCTTCATTTAGCTACTCTGAACCTCGGTTTCATCAACAGCATGAGACCAATCATACCAAGCTTTGTATTGCTGCTAGGATGAAATCAAGTAACGTATATTAAGTGATGGAGGATTGTATTAGTTTGCTCTCACACTGCTATAAAGAAATACCTGAGACCGGGTAATTTATAAGAAAAAGAGGTTTAATTGGCTCATGGTTCTGCAGGCTGTACAGGAAGCATGGCTGGGGAGGTCTCAGGAAACATACAATCATGACAGAAAGCAAAGCAGGAGCAGGCCTCTTACATGAAAGGAGCAGAACCCAGAGGTTGAGGCGGGGGGTGCAACACGAATTTTTTTTTTTTTTTTTGGAGATGGAGTCACCCTGTTGTCAGCCCGTGTCAGAGTGCAATGGCATGATCTCGGCTCACTGCAACCTCCGCCTTCCAGGTTCCAGCAATTCCCCTGCCTCAGCCTCCTGAGTAGCTGTGATTACAGGTGCCTGCCACCATACCCAGCTAATTTTTGTATTTTTAGTAGAGATGGGGTTTCACCATGTTGGCCAGGCTGGTCTCGAACTCCTGACCTCAGGTGATCCACCTGCCTTGGCCTCCCAAAGTGCTGGGATTACAGTCGTGAGCCACCGTGCCTGGCTGCAACACACTTTTGAATAACCAGATCTCACAAAAACTCACTCACTATCATAACAACAGTACCAGGAAGGAAATCCATCCCCATCATCCAGTTAACCTCCCACCAGGCCCTCTAACATTGGGGATTACAAATCAACATAATATTTGAGTGGGGACACAGATCCAAATTCTATCAAGGATTTTAACAGTAGAAATGAAAAGCAAATCTAAACAAATAACAAAAAATAAATATTCCTTACAATCATTTATTCAATTTTATGACAAGTCCATTAACATGATTGTACACAGTACATCATCAGAGGCAATAATGGGAAATATGTGCAGGCCCACATCTTTCCAAAATGCATATTCTGTATTATCTGAATATTTCCTAGCAGACGCTAGAAAAAATAAATGCTCCTCCCCAAAGCAAAGAGTGGTCAAGTGTCCATTTCTTCTTGGTTCTACTATTGCAAGAGGAAGAATTGTTTTCTTTTAGGAAAAAAAAAATTAGCTTCCTTCAAAGGCATTAAAGAAAAAGGGAAAATAAGGTGGCCACAAATCTTATTCTGGTAAAGTGCACCTGCTTAGGTATCTTATGTAAGTCTTATTTTTTACACTCTTTCTTTACCTGAACTCCCCAATACCTACACACACACAAAAAGAACATGTCTCTCTTCCATTGACACACACAAAAAAACTTTACTCACAAAAGAAGCAGAATTGTATCTTTTTTTTTTTTAAGTAAATTGATCTCTGCAAGCCATCACTTCATTGTGCCAGGAACTGGGTTTTAAACCCTATCTTCTCATCTAGGAATTGATTTGTGTTTAAAGGAAAAATAAAGCAGGAACAGGGACATTTCCTTTTTCACGCTCATTTGAAAAAAACAAAAACAAAAAACTAATGGTGAGGTTCTGCCTGGCCTAAATGCTTTCCAAAGGAGACAGTAAGCTCCCACACAAAAAAACTAATAACTTAAAATTTCCCCCTCTCTTGTCCTCATTTGGGCTTAAAATATTACCAAGTATTAATTTTAGTGTTCTGCCTGGCTATTAAATCACAAACCACACTGGCTGGTGAGAAACGAAGAAAGAAAAGAACCATTATTCACAGGCAAACCAGACAGTCCCACAAATAGCTCTATAAAAGTAAACTAAGTTATAATTTCTCTCTCCCTCATGAGTCAGAAGAGAAGGGTTCTAACTATCCAACTATGCAAGTTTGGGGTGGGAATTTTTAATTGGACAAGCAAACAATTTACTTAGAGATAAGAGATTAGCAGAGAAAGTATGATCGGGTTGGTAAAGATTTGCCTACATTTTCTCTTCTGATAAGACGGCGATACAGAGGCCAGAGAGCCTGAGACCCGATCAGACTTCCAGATGTGTTTCCTGCCACACGTGACTGCACAGCACAGACGGTTACACTGTCATTCTACCATGTCACCGTGCCTTTCTTTCTGCCTTGTCCAACCCGTTTCTCTCCACCTGCTGTCTATGACTTCTCCTTTCTTCCCTCAAAAATTCTCCACTCTCACCCTCCATTAGGCATCTCCCTCTCCAAATCTCTCAAAATATTGCCCATTTCTATTGTATGGTCTACCCTCATTTGTCTTTCTTAGTGTTCGCTGGGCACATCTTCCAACTAGACTTTCGTAAGGTCTGTGAGAATGATGAACTTGTCCTTTCTTATCTTTCAGTTCTCTCATGTGCTTTGAACATGAAATAAGTACACTACGTTTGCTAAATGTTTTCTAATTGATGTTCTTTTGTTAGTACATCCTTTTATTTCCACCCGTCTCCTCATACACCATGGAATAAAGCCAAGAATAAAGCTGGAGTGAGGGAGATGAAATGTGAAGTTGCGTGTAGCAGGTGGAGGAAGGAGGGAAGGAGGAAAGCTCGGGGGAGAGGAACAAGGATACATGAAGACAGAAATGTACAGTCAGACTTCCCTGAACTTGAGCCCAAGAGGCAAAGAGATAGAAAACCCAGATAAATTTCATGACAGGGTTGGGCATTTCCTAGAGCAGAAGGAATAATTGCCTGGCTTTCCGGGGAACAGTCAAGAAGAGATCAAGCTTCACAAGGAAACATAACATCCGAAAAGATGCTCCCCAGGATATAACAGAGACACAGTAGTGTGCTGTGATTAGGCAGACAGACAGTCAGATTAGCACTTGTTCTCCTCTCTAAGCTCTGAAGTGCGAGAGAGAAATCCGGAAACTCCAATGTGCCCCAGAGTAGGCACAGAAGAGAGCTGACCAGAGGGGTGGAAATCTTGCTGAGGGACAGCCATGGTGAATGACGTCATAAAGCAGGCAGGCTGGATTAAGGCTGCATGGATGACATGGCAGAGATGTGAGGGGCCTACAATGCCAGCAACCCCAGGTAGGGTTAAGGCAGCAGAGGAGAACCACTGGGCCCGACCCAACCGGGAGAATAGGTAACAAATTCACCAGCTGCAGATTTTGTCAGAGGTCAACAGGGCATTCAGCATCCACCAGAGGCCCCAGCAGAGAGTACAAGAGCAAAGGAATTTTCTTCTTGCTTTAACTAAGCAAGTTAGTGCTATAGTCAAGTTTAATTGATGTCTGCAGGAGGAATCACCAAAAAGGAGTAAAACTTGTTTCCAGTTACCAGTACAGAGATTCCCAATTAAAAAAGATATGGGCAGTACAAGGGCCCCACAAACTTTCAGTCCATGTACCAAATGAAGACAGAATTCACTCCAAGAGGCCACATACACCAGATCCAATCAGGGTCAATTTAAGTTCATCATAATGCCACGTTTTGTTGTCACTTGTTTTCTGACCCAACACTTTGCCTAACTTGTACTAACCTGCTCAGGGAAATTGTATCATATTCTCAGAGGTGGAAAGGTCTTGTATAAACAGAAATAAGTATTTACGGAAAAGAGTTATAAACTGAGAGTACAACAGGTTCAAGGCTATGGCTTTTGCAGGCTGGAAAAAGTAGTCATACGTAGGTGAGTGTGTTCTCCCCCACCTTAAAGTAGGGCCCTCTTTATCCTTCCACCAAACCAAACAAAAACACACAGACAACAATTACTCTTTCAAGCATTAGCTCCCAAAAGGCAAATTTGGATGACAATTTCATGGGTGACAGAAACACATATGCCACACAGAAAATAAAACAATAATAATAAAACACACTAAACATTTCTATTTTCTTTCAAATTCCCTGTCAGATGCCAAGTTCATATTTCTTCTCCTGGCTCAATCCTTCTCCAAGATAGTCTTCAAAATCTCGTCTAGCAAAGTTCACATCTGTCCCTAAATTTGCAAACCACATTAGGAAAATAAAATCCTAAATTCTAAAATGAACCCAGTGGTAATTGAGCAAACATCTCTTCCTCTTTCTCTTCCTCATGCCTCCACCCTAAGCAGAAGTCTCCATCCAAAAATAGTGGATTTATTCACAGGGGTACCTAATAAAAGTACATTAGATGCTGCCTATATATTTATAATTGTGTCACATGCATGTAGTTGCAGAAATCTGGTTTATAACTTAGGTGTGGAATTTAAAACTAGTAAAGCGATTGTATGTTCTCATGTGCCTCACTTTGTCTCCTGTCTAATGAGACATGAGACATAATGTTGCATAGATTCTCAATGCTCAGGCATATGCACTCATGTTAATATGCACTTTATTTTAATGCCATACTGAAAGACTAGGCACAATCATAGATGCTCAAGTATCACTGATATTGTAGGCCCTCTTCCAGCTACAACCTTGATTGTTTTCATACACACATTCTTTCCATCCACATCACATTTTCATTTTTCTCCATTTTTTAAATACGTCACGATTTTTAAAATGTGATCCTGTACCTAGCAGTGGCTTATTCTCTTATAGGTCTCCAAATCAGAGACAGGGAGATGAAATAGCTTAGGTAATTTATGAGTATTCCCATCATTTTCTAATGTGAGATATTCTTAAAAGTGTCTGGCTTTTGCCCTCAAATAAAGCTAAATTGGAATATCAGTTCTGCCACTTGTTAGTTTATTGATCTTGGATGAGTAAGAATCTCTCTGAGCCACAGTAAAATAATTAATAAAGCTTGTTATTACTTGTAAGAACAACATAACAATTGAGTGCCTACCATAACATTTGTGTGAAGATTTAATGAGATGATAAATTTAAGTTTCTCAGCCAGTACCTGGCACATAGCAAGCCAGTATGTATAAACTGTCATAAGGCAGGTGCTGGGCTAAAACTTTAATGTCTGTTATTGAATTTAATCCAGACAATACCCCTAGGACCTGCATACTTTACTGTCTCCATTTTAGCCAATGAGGAAACTGAGGGCTAAAAAGGTTAAATCACTTGCCTAGGATCACACAGTTGAAAATAATGAAGGGCCAAGTCTGTGTAACTCCTTATCTGTGAGATGGGCATAATAATTCTTTCCCTACAGTACTGTTCTCAGGATTAAATGAGCTAATACTGTAACATGTAACATGTAACAGTCACTCAGTACGTTTTCATTTCCTTCCTGTTCTGCCCATGTGTAACTCCTGACTTACAATTTATCCCATCAAATTAAAAATTATTAATAACTAAGATCAGAGCAGAATTGAAGGAGATAGAGATATAAAAACCCTCCAAAAAAGCAATGAATCCAGGAGCTGATTTTTTTGAAAAAATTAACAAAATAGATAGACCGCTAGCCAGGCTAATAAAGAAGAAAAGAGAGAAGAATCAAATAGACACAATAAAAAATGATAAATTGAATATCACCACTGATCCCACAGAAATACAAGCTACCATCAGAGAATACTATAAACACCTCTATGCAAATGAACTAGAAAATCTAGAATAAATGGATAAATTCCTGGACACATACAACCTCCCAAAACTAAACTGTCGGGGGAACCCACCCCCGATAATTCAACGTTATTTCACGTAGGTTCTTTTCTATTTCCCTAAGTGTCTGCTGGTCTGAGAAATAAAGGCAAAGAGCACAAAAGAGAGAAATTGTAAAGCTGGGTGTCCAGGGGAGACATTATGTGTCGGCAGGTTCCGTGATGCCCCCCAAGCCACAAAACCAGCAAGTTTTTAATAGTGATTTTCAAAGGGGAGGGAGTGTACAAATAGGGTGTTGGGTCACAGAGATCACATGCTTCAGAAGGTAATAAAATATTACAAGGCAAATGGAGGCAGGGTGAGGTCACAGGACCCGGGTGAAATTAAAATGACTAATGAAGTTTCGGGCACGCATTGTCATTGATAACATCTTATCAGGAGACAGGGTTTGAGAGCGGACAACCGGTCTCACCAAAGTTTATTAGGCAGGAATTTCCTCGTCCTAATAAGCCTGGGAGCGCTATGGGAGACCAGGGCTTATTTCTTCCCTTACCTACAACCGTAAAAGACAGACATTCCCAGAGCAGCCATTTCAGAGACCTTCCCCTAGGAAGGCATTCTCTTTGCTGAAAAAAAGAATTCAGCGATATTTCTCCTATTTGCTTTTGAAAGAAGAGAAATATGGTTCTGTTCTGCCCAGCTCTCAGGCAGCCAGACCTAATGGTTATCGCCCTTGTTCCCTGAACATCGCTGTTATCCTGTTCTTTTTTCAAGGTGCCCAGATTTCATATTGTTTAAACAATTTGTGCAGTTAACGCAATCATCACAGGGTCCTGAAGTGACATACATCCTCAGCTTACAAAGATGACGGGATTAAGAGATTAAAGACAGGCATAGGAAATCACAAGAGTATTGACTGGGGAAGTGATAAATGTCCATAAACTCTTCACAATTTATGTTCGGGAGATTGCAGTAAAGACAGGCATAAGAAATTATAAAAGTATTAATTTGGGGGAACTAATAAATGTCCATGAAATCTTCACAATTTATGTTCTTCTGCCATGGCTTCAGCCAGTCCCTCCATTCGGGGTCACTGACTTCCCGCAACACTAAACCAGGAAGAAGTCAATAACAAGAATTATTATTTTACACCCAGCTTTACAATTTCTCTCTTTTGTGCTCTTTGCCTTTATTTCTCAGACTGGCAGACACTTAGGGAAATAGAAAAGAACCTACGTGAAATAATGTTGAATTATCGGGGGTGGGTTCCCCCGATAGTTTAGTTTTGGGAGGTTGTATGTGTCCAGGAATTTATCCATTTCTTCTAGATTTTCTAGTTCATTTGCATAGAGGTGTTTATAGTATAGAATAAATCTTGTTATTGAATAGATCAATAACAAGTTCTGAAATTGAGGCAGTAATTAATAGCCTACCAACCATAAAAAGCACAGGACCAGATGGATTCACAGCTGAATTCTACCAGTGGTATAAAGAGCTGGTACCATTCCTCCTGAAATGATTCCAAACAATTGAAAAGGAAGGACTCCTCCCTAACTCATTTTATGAAGCCAGCATCATCCTGATACCAAAACCTACCAGAGACACAATAAAAAAAAGAAAACTTAAGGCCAATATCCCTGATGAATATTGATGTGAAAATCCTCAATACAATACTGGCAAACCAAATCCAGCAGCACATTAAAAAACTTATCCACCACAATCAAGTCAGCTGCATCCCTAGGATACAAAGCTGGTTCAATATATGCAAATCAATAAATGTAATCCATCACATAAACAGAAGCAAAGACAAAAACCACATGATTTTCTCAATAGATGCAGAAAAGGCCTTTGATAAAATTCAACATCTCTTCAGGTTAAAAACTTTCAATAAACTAGGTATTGATGGAACATATCTCAAAATAATAAGAACTATCTATGACAAACCCACAGCCAATATCATATTTAATTGGCAAAAGCTGGAAGCATTCCCTTTGAAAACTGGTACAAGACACAGATGCCCTCTCTCACCACTCCTATTCAACATAGTATTGGAAGTTCTGGCCAGGGCAATCAGGCAAGATAAATAAAGAGTATTCAAATAGGAAGAGAGGAAGTGAAACTGTCTCTGTTTGCAGATGACATGATCCTATATTTAGAAAACCCCACCATCTGAGCCCAAAAACTCCTTAAGCTGATAAGCAACTTCAGCAAAGTCTCAGGATACAAAATCAATGTGCAAAAATCAAAAGCATTCCTCACACCAACAATAAACAAGCAGAGAGCCAAATCATGAACAAACTCCTATTCACAATCACTACCAAGAAAATAAAATACCTAAGAATACAGCTAAGATGGGATGTGAAGGACCTCTTCAAGGAGAAACATGAACCACTGCTCAATAAAATAAGAGTGAACACAAACAAATGGAAAAACATTCCATCCTCATGGATAGGAAGAATGAATATTGTGAAAATGACCATGCTGCCCAAAGTAATTTATAGATTTGATGCTATTCCCATCAAACTACCACTGACATTCTTCACAGAATTAGAAAAGAATTACTTTAAATTTCATTTGGAATCAAAGAAGGTCATGTATAGCCAAGACAATCCTAACCAAAAAGAACAAAGCTGGAGACATCATGCTACCTGACTTCAAACTATACTACAATAATGCAGTAACCAAAACAGTGTGGTACTGGCACCAAAACAGACAAAGACCAATAGAATGGAGCAGAGACATCAGAAATAATGCCACACATCTACAACCATCTGATCTTCAACAAACCTGACAAAAACAAGCAACAGGGAAAAGATCTCCTATTCAATAAATGATGCTGGGAAAACTGGCTAGGCATATGCAGAAAACTGAAACTGGACCCCTTCCTTACACCTTATACAAAAATTAACTCAAGATGGATTAAAGATGCTCTCAAGTCACTCCAGCACAGCGTTGGTGCTGCCTGGGTATCAGAAAGCAAGCTCACATTGCTCTCCAGTACGTGTAAGCCTTTTCTTTTCAAGATGCCTGAGGAAGTGCACCATGGAGAGGAGGAGGTGGAGACTTTTGCCTTTCAGGCAGAAATTGCCCAACTCATATCCCTCATCATCAATACCTTCTATTCCAACGAGGAGATTTTCCTTCAGGAGTTGATCTCTAATGCTTCTGATGCCTTGGACAAGATTCGCTATGAGAGCCTGACAGACCCTTCAAAGTTGGACAGTGGTAAAGAGCTGAAAATTGACATCATCCCCAACCCTCAGGAACGTACCCTGGCTTTGGTAGACACAGGCATTGGCATGACCAAAGCTGATCTCATAAATAATTTGAGAACCATTGCCAAGTCTGGTACTAAAGCATGCATGGAGGCTCTTCAGGCTGGTGCAGACATCTCCATGATTGGGCAGTTTGGTGTTGGCTTTTTTCTGCCTACCTGGTGGCAGAGAAACTGGTTGTGATCACAAAGCACAACGATGATGAACAGTATGCTTGGGAGTCTTCTGCTGGAGGTTCCTTCACTGTGCATGCTGATCATGGTGAGCCCATTGGCAGGGGTACCAAAGTGATCCTCCATCTTAAAGAAGATCAGACAGAGTACTTAGAAGAGAGGCGGGTCAAAGAAGTAGTGAAGAAGCATTCTCAGTTCATAGGCTATCCCATCACCCTTTATTTGGAGAAGGAACAAGACAAGGAAATTAGTGATGATGAGGCAGAAGAAGAGAAAGGTGAGAAAGAAGAGGAAGATAAAGATGACGAAGAAAAGCCCAAGATCAAAGATGTGGGTTCAGATGAGGAGGATGACAGCAGTAAGGATAAGAAGAAGAAAACTAAGAAGATCAAAGAGAAATACATTGACTAGGAAGAACTAAACAAGACCAAGCCTATTTGGACCAGAAACCATGATGACATCACCCAAGAGGAGTATGGAGAATTCTATAAGAGCCTCACCAGTGACTGGGAAGACCACTTGGCAGTCAAGCACTTTTCTGTAGAAGGTCAGTTGGAATTCAGGGCATTGCTATTCAGTCCTCGTCGGGCTCCCTTTGACCTTTTTGAGAACAAGAAGAAAAAGAACAACATCAAACTGTATGTCCGCCGTGTGTTCATCATGGACAGCTGTGATGAGTTGATACCAGAGTATCTCAATTTTATCCATGGTGTGGTTGACTCTGAGGATCTGCCCCTGAACATCTCCCGAGAAATGCTCCAGCAGAGCAAAATCTTGAAAGTCATTCGCAAAAACATTGTTAAGAAGTGCCTTGAGCTCTTCTCTGAGCTGGCAGAAGACAAGGAGATTATAAGAAATTCTATGAGGCATTTTCTAAAAATCTCAAGCTTGGAATCCACGAAGACTCCACTAACCGCCACCGCCTGTCTGAGCTGCTGCGCTGTCACACCTCCCAGTCTGGAGATGAGATGACATCTCTGTCGTAGTATGTTTCTCACATGAAGGAGACACAGAAGTCCACCTATTACATCACTGGTGAGAGCAAAGAGCAGGTGGCCAACTCTGCTTTTGTGGAGCGAGTGCGGAAACAGGGCTTCGAGGTGGTATATATGACTGAGCCCATTGACGAGTACTGTGTGCAGCAGCTCAAGGAGTTTGATGGGAAAAGCCTGGTCTCAGTTACCAAGGAGGGTCTGGAGCTACCTGAGGATGAGGAGGAGAAGAAGAAGATGGAAGAAAGCAAGGAAAAGTTTGAGAACCTCTGCAAGCTCATGAAAGAAATCTTAGATAAGAAGGTTGAGAAGGTGACAATCTCCAATAGACTTGTGTCTTCACCCTGCTGCATTGTGACCAGCACCTACGGCTGGACAGCCAATATGGAGCAGATCATGAAAGCCCAGGCACTTCGGGACAACTCCACCATGGGCTATATGATGGCCAAAAAGCACCTGGAGATCAACCCCGACCACCCCATCATGGAGACGCTGCGGCAGAAGGCTGAGGCCGACAAGAATGATAAGGCAGTTAAGGACCTGGTGGTGCTGCTGTTTGAAACCGCCCTGCTATCTTCGGGCTTTTCCCTTGAGGATCCCCAGACCCACTCCAACCACATCTACCACATGATCAAGCTAGGTCTAGGTACTGATGAAGATGAAGTGGCAGCAGAGGAACCCAGTGATGCAGTTCCTGATGAGATCCCCCCTCTTGAGGGTGATGAGGATGCGTCTCGCATGGAAGAAGTCGATTAGGAGTTCATAGTTGGAAAACTTGTGCCCTTGTATAGTGTCCCCATGGCTCCCACTGCAGCCTCGAGTGCCCCTGTCCCACCTGGCTGCTGGTGTCTAGTGTTTTTTTCCCTCTCCTGTCCTTGTGTTGAAGGCAGGAAACCAAGGGTGTCAAGCCCCATTCCCTCTCTACTCTTGACAGCAGGATTGGATGTTGTGTATTGTGGTTTATTTTATTTTCTTCATTTTGTTCTGAAATTAAAGAATGTAAAATAAAGAATATGCCGTTTTTATACAAAAAAAAAAAAAAAAAGATGGATTAAAGACTTAAATGTAAAACCCAAAACCATAAAAACCCTAGAAGAAAACCTAGGCAATACCATTCAGGACATAGGCATGGGCAAGGATTTCATGTCTAAAACACCAAAAGCAATGGCAACAAAAGCCAAAATTGACAAATGTATCTAATTAAACTGAAGAGCTTCTGCACAGCAAAAGAAACTATCATCAGAGTAAACAGGCAACCTACAGAATGGGAGAAAATTTTTGCAATCTACCCATCTGACAAAGGTCTAATATCCAAAATTTACAAGAAACTTAAACAAATTTACAAGAAAAAACAAACAACTGCATCAAAAAGTGGCCAAAGGTTATGAATAGACACTTCTCAAAAGAAGACATTCACATGGCCAACAAGCATATGAAAAAAAGCTCAACATCACTGATCATTAGAGAAATGCAGATCAAAACCGCAATGAGATACCATCTCATGCCAGTCAGAATGGCAATTATTAAAAAGTCAAGAAACAATAGATGCTGGCAAGGCTGTGGAGAAATAGGAACGCTTTTACACTGTTGGTGGGAATGTAAATTAGTTCAACCATTGTGGAAGACAGTATGGAGATTCCTCAAGTATCTAGAACCAGAAATACCATTTGACCCAGCAATCCCATCACTGGGTATATACCCAAAGGAATATAAATCATTCTACTATTAAGACACGTGCACACATATGTTTATTGCAGCGCTATTTACAATAGCAAAAACATGGAACCAACCAAAATGCCCATCAATAATAGACTGGATAAAGAAAATGTTGTACATATACACCATGGAATACTATGCAGCCATAAAAAGGAATGAGATCATGCCCTTTGCAGGGACATGGACAAAGCTGGAAGCCATCATCCTCAGCAAATTAACACAGGAACAGAAAACCAAACACCACACATTCTCACTCATAAGTGGGAGTTGAACAATGAGAACACATGGACACAGGGAGGGGAACAACACATACCAGGGCCTGTGGGGGCTGGGGGGCAAGGGGAGGGAACTTAGACGATGGATGGGTCAATAGGCGCAGCAAACTATCATGGCACATGTATACCTACGTAACAAACCTGCACATTCTGCACATGTATCCCAGAACTTAAAGTAAAATAAAAAAAAATAATAAATATATAAATAAAAATAAATATTAATGTTATTCCATAGTATTGTTACCTCCAAAAGGCTTTGATTTTGTGAAGGGATTTTTTAAAGTAGAACTATTCATAATTTCATATACAGCAAGTCAATATATATCCACTGCATTGCCATATTCCCAATACTCACCAAGATAAATGCAAACCTCAAAGTTTACCATTTACTCATTATCATATTAGACATTCAGATGGTAATCCAAGTAGCAGTTTACTCAGATTAAACACACTAAGCAAGTCAAGATAAGAATATCAAGATTAAATTATTATTTAGAATTATTTTTAAAGGGCTTATTTTTTCCTATTAAACCATTCTAAAATTAACACATTTTCACTTTCCCCGAGCATCCAGACAATTCTCAGGCTATTAAGTTCTTTTTTCCTGAAGTATTTTTCTGTCCTGAGCTCAATCCTATGCCCTATTCTTAAGTCTGTAATGGTTTCCAGTCACCTATTAAACTACTTAGAAAATCTTTCATCTGACATTCAAAGTCAACCATGATCTTATTCAAAATGAATTTTTCTGCCTTAATCGCTCTCCCTGATATGTGTTCTACCCTATACCAACTATTCTCCAAAAACACTCATTGGCTGTCTTTACTCGTAGGATTCTCTGTCTGGCTTATACCAGCTTGTTTAGAAAAGCATGTATTCATTTCAGAACCATAAATTTCCATATACATAATTCTGTGAGAAAATCAGCTTGCTTTCCAGTTACACATTCATAAGCATTCATACGGTCTAATTACTACAAACCCTTTGTATGCTCTGCATATAAATCACCAATTAGCTTCCAGTTTAAAAAAGTTAGTCCCTTGTGATTTTATGTGAAAATGGGTGACTCACAGCGACCTGCCTGATTTTCATTCATAAGAAACAGTGGCATTGGTGTAGGAGAATGAAAACAGGGAAGGAATGTTGAAATTCTGAGAGGAAGAGGGCCACCCTCCGCTGTGTGAGGCAACTTACACTTCACACCCAGGGGAAGTTGACTCATTTCCTCCCCTCTCCTCAATTACCTCTGAAGCCTTCTCCTCTTTCTTCACCTCTCGCTGAAGCCGCCACTCTTGCCACTGATTCAGTGAATCACAGAGAGGTCACCCAACCAACCAGGAAAAAAATCTGGGTTAGAGTAGGAGACGAAGAAATATGTTCTCTTTTCTCAATTAGAGAAAAATAAAAGGAAACTCTCCAGTGGGAAGTTTCTACAATTATTAATAGAATTGATGGAACTATACAGTAATTTTTTAAAAAATCTTCTTATTCAGGTGTATGTACACGATGCACTGTATGGTGTACAAATCATAATATGCAACTCACTGAATTTTTACATATCTATGTAGGTATACATTTATCTATGTATGTGTGTTGTGTGTATGAAAACCATGTAATCCCACCACCATCAAAAGATACAACACATCCAACATCCAGAACACTCATGTTCCTTCCCTGTCAATATGCACCATCTGTCCTCACAGAGGTAATTGTTCTGCCTTCTCTAGCCATACATTTGTTTCCCCTGAAACAAATCTTGTTTCTTGACCTTCTCGTCATTGGACTGTAGCACCTACTTTTTTTGTGTCTGGCTTCTTTCCCTCAGTCTTATATTTGTGGAACTCATTCCTATTGTTGTATATAGCAGCAGTTTGTTCTTTTTTGTCACTATATGATTTTTCTATTCTCTGGGTTTTATGAAAAAAGCTGCTATTATGAATGAGATACCATAAACATTCTTGCATGTCTTCTGGTGGATTTACAAAAACTGTGCAATAACCTTTTACCTAATCTTTCTACTTCTGCTTCTCTGCTTCCACCTGGCTTTCGCACCACCATCCCAGGAATCTCCCTCAGTCGGCTGGAACCCCGGTCCTGCACAGAGCTCAACGGGTCCCTCACTGTCAGTGGAGCGCATTATGACTCCAAATGAGACTTTCAAGACCCTACATGACTTGGCCACATCCCACCTCTCCAGGCTTATATCTTGTCTAATTTCAACATTTATCACCCTCCACAGTCTCCAGTCAAAATACATAGCTCACAATTCTCCACACATGCCCCAAATATTTGTTTGTGAACATACCAATCCCTCCCTACCCAGAAAGTATTTTCCCACCAATTATAAATATGTGAATTTCAAAAAAAGTGTTTACCTCAGATAATTTTAAAGACATGTTCCTGACATGACTTTAAGGAAAGGTTATTAAAAAAAATATAAATGACTTAAATGGAATTTTCCACTCAATTTGGAAGAAACTAGCACCATATACCTAGGACAATTTTGCTCATAGGTTAAGCTTAGGGGCTTTGAGGAATGCTGGCTCTCCTACTTCCTAGCTATGTGACTTTGGTTAGAATATTTCACTTTTTTAGCCTTAGTTTTCTCATCTGAAAAATTGAAGCAGAAACCTCCCTCACAAGATAGTTACAAAGAACAGATAAAATATTGCATACAAACTACTTAAAACAGTGACATGCATAAAATAAACATACCATAAATAGCATGTATCATTATTAACAAAGAAGTGATGCATCTTAGAGGCTAAGAGTAAAAACCTGGGGACCAGATATCCTGGATTCAAATCCCAGTTCCTAGCTTACTAGCTTCCACTTACTAGCTGGATGACTTGGGCACATTGCTAACCAATCTGTGCCACAGTTTCCTCGCCTATAAATGGTGGCTAAAATAGTACCTTCTTCAGAGAGAGTCACAAGGAATAAAAGAATTAACCTATACAAAGCAATGGATCTGACAAAGTGAGGGAAACATAATTCTCAGCTACTTATAGCACTGCTATTATTGTATATCAACAACTACTATTACCAGTATGTTTAAGAGAATACTATCATTCTTGTAGATTTGAAGTTTTGATAGACAAAGAAAAGACTCAAGGTTATTAACCTAGAGATCTTTCATTGATACATTATTCCAAATAAGAGAGAAAACTCTATAAAGGCAGAATGGTGGACCCAGAGGTACTATTACTGTGGTAGGATCAGTAACACATGACAACAGTGTCACAGACTCACACGACAGAGCTACCAACATCCAAGGTGAATTCATATTGTGAAACGGGCATCTTTGAGCATCCTTGTTTTTCACTGACTAGAAGGGTTCTCCACTGGGCAATGGACAGAAGGTAGCGCTTAGTAATTCACACTGACACCATCTGTGCGTCCTAAGACCCCTTATCAACTTCATCTTTAGGACCTGATCACCTAAGGAAAGCAGGGCTCCCTAACACTAGCTTCTAAGCTGTACTAGGGTAATCCATACTTTCCGAAGACAAGTAACAAGTTATAAAAAGAATAAGAGAGTAAGGCTGGAGTTCAGTGTCTATGGTTAATAAAATGATTCCTTATTTTATTATTTTATTTCTATTTCACAGATAAATAAACTGAAGCAAGATAAAGTTAAGTAAGTTGTCTATGGCCAAATAACTCAGAAGAAGCAAAAGACAGGCTATAAACACACAAACTTGAATCCATAGCCTAAGCAATTCCCACACAAAGAGCAAACCTTTTCCTTTTTTTGGTTGGTGGGGATTTCTTACTAGTAACTTCCAACAGATAAAACCCAGTGGAAAAATAAGTTCAGATAAAGAAATTCCTCATATCATTTTAGAGTCCAGTAAAACTAAAAGGTGGGCCAGGTACAATGGCTCGTGCCTGCAATCCCAGCACTTTGGGAGGCCGAAGCAGGTGGATTGCTTGAGCCCAGGAGTTTCAGACCAGCCTGGGCAACATGACGAAACCCTGTCTCTACAAAAAATACAAAAATTAGCCAAATGTGGTGGCATGTGCCTGTATTCCCAGCTACTTGGGAGGCTGAGGTGAGAGGATTGCTTGAGCCCATGAGATTGTGGCTGCAGTGAGCTGAGGTCACGCCACTGCACTCCAGCCTGAGCAACAGAGTGAGACCCTGTCTCAAAACCAAAAATATAAATAAATAAATAAATAAATAAAGGGGATCAGCTACCTCAGGAGCTGTGCTTTCTGTGGACCTCTCTGAGGTACATTTTGTTGACCAATAAGAAATGGAGAGTGAGGGGTCGGGTGTGGTGGCTCATGCCTGTAATCCCAGCATTTTGGGAGGCTGAGGCGGGTAGACCACGAGGTCAGGAGATCGAGACCATCCTGGCTTATACGGTGAAACCCCATCTCTACTAAAAATACAAAAAATTAGCCTGGCGTGGTGGCGGGTGCCTGTGGTCCCAGCTACTTGGGAGGCTGAGGCAGGAGAATGGCATGAAGCCAGGAGGCGGAGCTTGCTGTGAGCCCAGATAGAGCCACTGCACTCCAGCCTGGGCAACAGAGCGAGACTCCATCTCAAAAAAAAAAGAAAAAAAAAAGAAATGGAGAGTGACGGAGAGGGTACAGGAGCAACTTTTGCCCTGATTTCCATGGAGGCTTAATTTTCTGACAAGAAGAAACAGAATGGACATGTTTAAGCGTAGAGGCTTTGGGGATCACTGAAGTCTGTAGGTAATTTGCAGGTAGTTTTATGATTCTGCTGTCACAAATGTGTCTGTAGAATGCTTCGAGGTTCCATCACTCCCCTCCGTTCCCCTACTTTACCCAATTTTTTACTTCTCCTGAATCATTTTCATTAACATATTCAAAAATTCTGAGTTGAGTTGCTGAAGAGAAAATGTTTGAAACATCTCATTTTGCAGAAAGACAACACTTGTATTTTACTTTAGGGTTGGACGCTTTCTCAATAAGCCCTGCTAAGACTTACAAATGTTAAAATAATACTTCCATTTTAAACTTCTAAGGCACAATATTTATTCATAACCTCAATCATCACTTGAAGCATTAATCCATTTAATGGATACCATGTTAAAAATTAGAAAGAGCTCACGATTGTCTCATTGGAAACACTAATACTGACAGAAAAGTGGAAAGACAACTAAACAGAAAAACCACGAACTACTTCCAAAGTGGTATTGTGTTCAAGAAAAGTGGAGAGAGCGTTTTGCGTAGTGGTGAGTGAAGCCAGTTAAGGGCAAGCTTATTTCAATCAGTCACCTGTCGGTGGAGATGGCCTCATTACCATCTCTCCTTTGGTAGGAAGTGCTTCATGGAGGGAAGTAGGGTTTAGGGAAGGAAAGGAGGAGATAGAAGAATCTATTCAAGGGATAGAAGTGTTACCTAGAAATAAAGCTTCAAAAAATAGGGGACAAGTATTATTTTGTAGAAAGGGAACTCTAAGATTGCTTCAGAAGACAAATAAGTTGGACCCACTTTAGTGAGTACATCGCCTCTCTATGGGATCTCATTCCTCCTGTGTTCATGGCTCTTAGTTCAGGGCATTAGCCCTTTTAAGATATGGGCATTTTCTCAGTCAGTTAATTCACTTTCATTGTCCATTGTTCCATAATTCATTCCTGAATTATGAGACTACTCTGTGTTTAATATCAAAGGCGACTATTTCAGGGTATATTAAAATATCTGCCCAGGATTATCATTTTCTGTATACATGTAGTCAACACCTGCTGTATTATTTTCTATTATTAAATTCAGTTTTCTGCACTGAATCACTCTCTCCACAACAATTTCAAGTTCATTGAAGCCAAAGAACAACAATTGTGCTTCTTTGTTTAATCTCCATAGTACCTGCTCTATGCACATAACACACAATGCATCTTGGTAGAATAGATTTACTTCCTTCAATGTTTATTTCCTCCGATGGAAACCGTAATGTTTTCCATTCCAATTTATAAATGTTGCTGTGTTTCATATTTCAAGTGATTGCTCTGAAGAACAGACTAAACCAAAATGCATGAATTTAACAAGAGAGGGAGTTCAGGACATAAAAATAAAACCATCCTTCTTGCTTTTAGTTCACATATCAAATCTTGTGATTGTGTAATTAGGGCATATGTAGTATGGAAAATACCACAAGTTCCTTTTGCAAAGATACTTTTTCCCACTGAGGAAAGAAGATATGTAGAATAATTCCAAAACAGAGAAATTGAAATCTACTAGAATTGGGTATTCATTATTGCAAAATGTTCACTATCTCTTCAGAATGTTCTGCTGTATAGAGATTACCAGAAAGTATAGACTCTGAGCTATAAATATCCTCAAAAAACCATGGAGCATCTGCTTTTAATTTTTGCCTGGGTGGCTTATACATCAGACAGGAAAACATGCCTGGTTTTAGGAGGTTTGAACAGATGCCATGGAGTAAGTGCCCATTTCCCAGAGTTTGTTGTCATTTTGGTTAGTGAACTCCACCTACCAAAACAAAAATGATCCCTGTGTCTCAGAGGCTCCCCTTTAAAGAAATAGAAAGAAGAGCAACGCTTTTTCCCAGCTCTTCCATGCAGATATGTATAAGCCAATGATTCATAAAACACTTTCAACACTTTGTTTGTGCATACTATACAGTCTTAATTTTGGTATTAATTAAACCTTATTTTTGTTGTCTCCTTGCCCTGTATAGATGACTGTTGCATTCTAGATCTTTGTCTGTTTTGTGTTTAACTTTCACACAATACCCATTAAGCTGATAAATATTCCATTCGATCATTTTTATGAGTAAATGTAATGTCTTAACAGCTTGAGGTTTAGTTGAATCTTAAATCTGGGTAGCAGTTATCACTGTGTAAGAAAAATTGGGTCAAATTAGAAATTTGCAGAGCTTCTCCTGGTCTTTTCACCTTCCAATTCTGCCTGATGTATTATGTCTTCCCACATTTACACTTTGTGCATGCAGTGTCAAGACACCAGGTTGTTGAACCAAGGGATTCTCTCTTTTCCTCATGAGGAAAATGAACTTCCCAAAATGAGCTTGCTGAAAGTCCCAAATCTCATGAAGTAAAATCTTTCATGATTGATTCTCTGCAGGTATCAAATTTGTTTTCTTGTTGAAAAGCAGGTTAACCAATAATTAGGTGCAACAATTTCTCAACATGGAGCTTATGTGGAAGAAATCTTTCTAAAAAATAACTGTGGTTTATGTTTCCTGTCTGAGGTATGCCTTACATTAACCACACAAAATATTTAGCTTTTCCTAGCTCAGATCTTGAATAGCTCTCCCAAGATTTTGACCCTTATCAACTCCTTATTACCAAAGAACATTCTTTTATCTTGGGCTCTGGGATGGTATTTTATTTGTTGATTAACTATAGTTGGCTAGTATTGACTGAAGACTTATTATATAATGTGTTGAGTAGGTTTAGATGGGCAGAGAATACAAAAGGTGCACAATAATCCCATTCCTCAGAAATCGCTGTCATATGGTTGATTAGCAAGACAAAACTGACACCCATGGCACAACTCTAGGATGAGTAGAATTGATGAAAAAATCGAAATCTTCCATAGGAGTTCAGAGAACCTATTAATGTGAACTGGAGCAGTCAACATGAGTCTTGGGAGAGTTTAGACTTGATCTGGACCTTAAAGTATGGAGAGATTTGAGTGGGTAAAAGGCAGTCAAAAGATATTTGCTTCAGATGTGAAAGTAAAGACCAAAAAAAGATGTTGTTTCTGAGAAACAGTGAGAGACAGGGCTGAAGAGATGAGGGCTTGCTTTTTCAGGTTCCTGAGAACTGTCCATATGAAAGCTCTTTTGTTGCCTATTTTAACCTTTTGACTCTTGCTGAAGGACCCCCAAATTTTTTCACTAGGGCACGAAACTAGGACCCTTAATAGCCTGCATGAAAAAGTAAAGTCTAGAGAATTTAAGTTCCCTAGTTACTAAAGAAAATAATATATTTTGGAAATGTGTTAGTGCCTTGGCTCCTTATCTAATCTTTCAGGTATACAGTTTTTTTGTTGCTGTCGTTTTTTGTTGTTGTTTGTTTTTGTTTTTGTTTTTTTTTTGAGGCAGAGTCTTGCTCTGTCGCCCCCTCAGGCTGGAGTGCACTGGTGCGATCTCAGTTCACTGCAACCTCTGCTTCCTGGGTTCAAGCGATTCTACTGCCTCAGCCTCCTGAGTAGCTGGGACTAGAGGGGTGTGCCACCACACTCGGCTAATTTTTGTATTTTTAGTAGGGACAGGGTTTTGCCATGTTAGCCAGGCTGGTCTCGAACTCCTGGCCTCAAGTGATCCACCTGCCTCAGCCTCCCACGGTGCTGGGATTACAGGCATGAACCACCACGCCTGGCCTCAAGGTATACTACATATTTAAAAAAACAAAGCTCCATCTGCATCATTAGTGATGACTATCAACCTCTATTTCAGATATGAAGAACAATAGCACAGATGTAGGAGATATGGCTATAAAGTCACAGAAGTGATTCTTCTCTGAAATACAGCAAAATGTCTAGCTTTCAATGGTGTTGACACCTTCAAAGTAGAATCCTTGAAAGGCTATGTGATTATTCCAATGATGCATCCATTCTTCAAGTCAGTTTCAGGATCCTTTTTTAAAAACTGCTCTGGGAAACCACAGCAGAGCTCTTAGAGTATCTTCCCTAGAGGCAAATCTTCCATCCTCGCCTCCTGATCTCTGCGTCGACACCTGCCTGCCTTGCATGCAGACTCTCCCCAGCCTAAATTGAGGCATCTTCCTTTATTGTGTCCCTGCCTCTCCTCTGCCCTTGTCTTATCTTTCGCTTTTGTCCCTACCCCTGCAATCAGACAATGCAAGACAAGGCAGAGGACATGAGGCTTGAATCTGAGGAGACAAACTAAATTATGAGGCAAGAAGTCGACAATGCAGTGAAATAGAGAGAGGTCAGAGATGCAGGAGAATTAAAAGGATATCATATAAACAACAATCACAGCCAAAAATACTGTGAGGATGGGGTAGCTAGGACATTGTAGGAAATAGAAAGAACATATCGAGTCACAATGGGAGCTCAGCACAGACACTAGAATTTGTAAGCTAAAATTACAAACTAAACACAATAACAATTATTGGTATGTCCATTGACTTCCAGTTTATCAGGCCAATTTCTATTCACTTTCCCTAAAGTCAGCTTATCTCTGCAAAACTGTTTTCTAATCTTTTGGGATGCAGAATTGGAGAACAAACAGAATACTGCAGAACCCAAGAGGCAAGAGGAATGGAAGGGCCTAGCAGGAGAGGGGGAATTGCAGTTGGCAAATGAGAATCTATAATTCGTGTCAAAGAGTATAAGGTGTGAAAGAACAGGGATCCCAGAAATATTCCAGAAGGGCCATAAGTATTCACTTTAATGCATTGCAAATTATACAATGAACATATTAACTTTTCAAATATGTTCGGTTAAGAACTGTGCTCCTTGGACAGCACACCAAACTGAGACTGGACTACACACGACAGCTTCAGTGAGGTTACATGATCAGATGCAACTGCTACATTGCTCTAGGCCTGTAGGCTATGAGGTACTCCCATATGCTTTCCCACAGGACAGGAATGCAAGTGGTGCTGTTGCTGGCCAGGCATGGAAAGGAGCACTCAGTCCATTTTCCAGTCTACGAGAGCAGACTGCTGACCGCCAGTGCGCAAAACAATCAATCCCCCAGATGCCTTGAGCATTTTGAAGTCTATGGAAATCCCAGGGCAACCCTAGAGCTAGAGACTACAGTATCAATGGCATGAGGCATGTTTTCTCTTGTGAGCTCACCTCGACCTCAAAGGAAGAAACACACACACACATATGCCTGCTTTTCTAAGACTCTCATTATGTTTATCCCAAACCACCTCTTCTGTTCATAGGAAAAGAAGGGAATGTATTTGTTGTATGTTGCAGGCCTGGAGATGAAGAGCACCCTTAGACTTTCACTAGAGCACATTTTTCTCATTTTGTTCCTGAGTTTCACATCATCTGTCATGAACAAGAGTTATAACCATATAGCAATAAGATTTTATCTTACTAATACATCATGATATAGAAGTATAAGTAAATGTTTTATTTCCAGAGGATAACCATGGGTGATTTTACCTTTAATCTCAATATGTTGATCCTGCCTGTTTCTGAAACAACTTTTGGAAGTAACATTCAGAGCTATTACATGAGCATACCAGAAAGTGTCATTTTATAGTGACACCTCATTAGTTATATTTGGTTATAGTGACACCTCATTAGTTATATTTGGTTACAGTGACTTTTAGCCCTTTTTTTTTTTTTTTCCCGAGACAGAATCTCATGCTGTTGCCCAGACTGGAGTGCAATGATGCCATCTCAGCTAACTGCAACCTCTGCCTCCCGGGTTCAAGCGATTCTCATGCCTCAGCCTCTCAAGTAGCTGAGATTGCAAGCATGCACCACCATGCTCAGCTAATTTTTGTATTTTTAGTAGAGACAGGGTTTCACCATGTTGGCCAGGCTGGCCTCGAACTCAAGTGATCCTCTGGCCTTGGCCTCCCAAAGTGCTGGGATTACAGGCATAAGCCACCATGCCTGGCATTTAAGCCATTTTTAATATCAAATTAAATATTTAATTTAAATATTATGAGTATAAAAACTTGCCATCAAAGAGGATATTCAAAGAATGAGAAACAGCTTTGACTGCAATTGAAAAGAGAAGTTTCAGCCATGTTTTAAACACTATTAACCTAATTTAAATGAATGCATAGTCTTCCCTGAAGACTGATTCAAACGGGAAAGTCATCATTTTAAAGGTCTACATTTTGGCTCATTGCAGACTTGACCTCCTGGACTCAGGTGATTCTCCAGCCTCAGTCTCCCAAGTAGCTGGTACTACAGGTGCATGCCACCATAGCAGCTAATTCTTATATTTTTTGTAGAGACAGGGTTTGCCATGTTTCCCAGACTGGTCTTGAACTCCTGGGCTCAAGTGAGCTGCCTGCCTCATTCTTCCAAAGTGCCGGGAAGGACCAGCCACTGTGCCTGGTCCTTTTGCAGAATGCTGATGCTGGCTTTATTTTTTTTAATGCTGAGAAGAAACAATCTCCTGAATGAGTTTTATACAGAAACACAAGCAATATAGCACTTTGCAATCAGACAGAATTTTTTATTCCCAGATGTTCATAACATTTAAAGATGGTTATCAGGTAATCAATGCAAAATGTTTGTTGAGAAGTTTTTATTCCAAAGAATAAAACTGTGCTTAAAGAGCTTTACTCAGTGTCAAAGCACCTTTATTCAGGGTGGCAGAATGCAAATAGGTAACCTGATTCTCAAATTGAAATATATCCCTGTGCCCTTTTCCTTTAATATGACAAAGTGCCTATAGACCCATAGGGATTTGTTTACAATTATTTTTTCTCACAATTATTTATCTATAACATCTCCCTTGTGGGGACATTTACAAGATAGTTGGCAGAGAGAGAATAGAGATTGAAATATAATGCTCAAAAAATAAAATAGAAAATGTAATATTATAAATAACTAATATTCTAATGGAACAATCATATCATAGGCTCTTAATCCCATTCTGAGAAAATAAAAATATCTTTACTTCAGAAAAAATAAAAACAAATTTTTAAATATGGCACAATATTATTTTTGAAAAGAATTAGATTGAAATACTGCCATATATTGTGATGGAAAAATGTGAAGATTTTAAATGTAGAATAAAACCAAATTTGATTCTTCTCTTCTGCTCTCTCCCATCCTCTTTGCCTCTGTTCCTTCCTCTCACAACCACTGATGCCTGGGACACCCACTGGCACAGGGATACAGCCAGGAACAAGTCACACATGGTCCTTAACATCTTGACATCTTCAAAATTGCAGGAAAGACATATTAGATAACTAGCTGCAAATGTGAGGTGTATAGTGAAATGGAAATATAGTACTTCTTACACAAATGACCATAAGCAATCTTAGTTTAAGTGATTATTAAGATTGTCAGTCTCTGCACCTTACATAAAAAATAAAATCCCATCTCTATTCTGTGATGGCATCTCATGGCTGCCAGTCATATCTAGAAAATTTCCCCCAGGTATGAATAGAGCAATGATAGGCTCTACTGGCATGACTGCCAGTTCTGTTTAGCAAAAATTTTCACTATTTTTCAATGTTTATTCGTTTAACAGCCAAACTGATTCTTTTCCTGTCCTAAACAGAAATATTTAAACTTTGCTAACTTTCTTTGAATTTGGAACTGTCAACATATGCTTTTATTCTAAGATATTTCAAGTCAAAAAAAAAAAAAAAAAACGTGGTAGGATGAGGTGCTGGTATACAGTCTATGATCCCCCATATGAGTGTGCTAGAGCTATCACCAAAAGTGCCACAAATTGGATAATGACTAAATAACAGAAATATCTGTCTCTCAATTCTGGAGGCTAGAAGTCCAAACTCAAGAGTCGGCAGGGTCATACTCCCTCAGAAACCTGCAGAGGAAGCATCTTCCCCTGGCTTTTCCTAGACTCCAGTGGTTCTCTGGCAATGTTTGGTGCCCCTTGGCTTAGAGGTGCATCATTCCCATCCTCCAAGTTCACAGATCATCTTCCCTCTGTGCATCAGGCTCTGTGTCCAAATTTCTCCTTTTTACAAAGACACTAGTCGTATTAGATTAGGGCTATTCTTAGTGACCTCGTTTTACATTGATTACCTCTGGGTAAAGACTCTATTTCCATGCCGGGTGCAGTGGCTCATGCATGTAATCCTGGCACTTTGGGATGCTGAGGCGGGCGGATCACCTGAGGTTGGGAGTTTGAGACCAGCCTGACCATCATGGAGAAACCCCATCTCTACTAAAAATACAAAATTAGCCAGGCGTGGTAGATATACCTGTAATCCCAGCTACTTGGGAGACTGAGGCAGTAGAATTGCTCAGACCCTGGAGGTGGAGGTTGCAGTGAGCCAAAATCGTGCCATTGCACTCCAGCCTGGGTAAGAAGAGCAAAACTCTGTCTCAAAACAAAAACAAACAAGACCCTATTTCCAAATAAGGGCACATTCTGCAATACTTCAACCAACAATTCTACCTCTAACAGCCCCAAGCAAAAAGGCACATTCTTTATTGACACTTGTACAAAATAACTACTTACCGAACCACTCCACCCTGTACTTATAAATCATCTTTAAGGAAAGCTATGCATTATCTTATCTACTGCTATAGTTTTTCTCTGTGGTTCATGGGAAGAGTGCTAAAGAGATGAAAGAAAAATTCTTGGTCAAATTTTTCTTTAATGTGTGGAAATTTTTATCACTTTGAAAACAACCTGACAACAGTGGAAAATTCATAAAGGAGCCTTGGTATGTCACCAAACTGGATTTTTATTCTCATCATGACCAAAGATGTGCCTTATGCCTTTATATCCAAGTGACTTCAGCAACTAGATGTGATGAGAAAGACATGATAAGGCATTGGGAAATGTAAAGTCAGCTCTACTATGAGGAAGAACAATAGTAAATAGTTGAATTCAACAAATATTGATTAAGCACAACTATGTGCAGATCCTGTACTAGGTTGTGAGGACACAAAGTTGAATGTAACGTGGTCCTGGTTTTCAGAAGCTTATCTCCCTAAATGAAGAAATAAGATAAATATAAAAATATCTACAATACAGGATATTTTTATTCCAGTGGAGGAAAAGGGAAAAGTAGAACCTTGAAATAGAAGTGTGTTTCCAAAAGTCAAAAATGAAATAATGGTGACTAGAATACCTGTTTTTAGTATTCTATGGTATTTTTAAGTACAGAAATCGTGGTATTTTTGTGATGTAATACCATAACTTAGACGGGGTCTTGCTCACACTCCCTAGCCTCAAGGAAGCCTCCCACCTCGGCTTTCCAAAGTGCTGGGATTACAGGTGTGAGCCATCACGTTTGGCCTGTAACTTAGGCTTTTAAAATGTAATTTTAATCTTTCACATCTTCAGAGGTGCCCGATGATTATCAGTGGCATTCAATTTTTGAATGGAACAAAGATGCACTCATTTGAAAGCATTTCATTCCTCTGTAATCCTGAAAGCTAACCCATCGTTCCCACCCACAGCCTGTATACACACTGCTCCTCCTGTATTCCCATCTCTGCATTGACAGCCCCATCCTCCAAGGCACCCAAATGAAAATTTCAACCTTTTCTTTGCCTCACTTGGTGGACACCAAGTCCTGTATAATCCACCTCCTAAGAATCTCTAGAAACTGCCCCGTTTTTCGTCCCCTTTGGCCATCAGGAGTCCTATCTTTTCTTGCCTGGACAATGTAATCATTCCAATCAATCAAATCTAAGTGGATTTATCTGCTTCTTTGAATCTACTTCCTCCTCACAATTATCTACTTTCCCATCCTGTTACCAAAAAGACTTTTCCAAAATGAAATATAATCACATTATGGCCCTGCTTTAAAGCATTGAGTATGTCTTCATTGTCTTCAATATGGAGGAAAAACTCTTTCACAGCCCAGCCTCTACCTTTCTCCGGAGCTTCCTCTCCTACTGTGTTTCCATGCATGCTTCACTGCAGACACCCTGACTGCCTGTGGTATCCTGAACATCCCTTGCCCTCTTACAGGTTTTGTCATGCTAGCCTCCTGCCTAGATTGCCCTTCCCCACATTCCCTCCTGTATTCATCTCCTGTTGCTGCTGACACAAATCACTGCAAGCTTAGTGGCTTAAAACAGCACTTACGGCCAGGCGCTGTGGCTCATGCCTGTAATCCTAGCACTTTGGGAGGCTGAGGCAGGTGGATCATGAGGTCAGAAGATCAAGACCATCCTGGCTAACAAGGTGAAACCCCGTCTCTACTAGAAGTGCAAGAAATCAGCAGGGCGTGGTGGCGGGCGCCTGTAGTCCCAGCGACTCAGGAGGCTGAGGCAGGAGAATGGAGATCACACCACTGCACTCCAGCCTGGGCGACAGAGCGAGACTCCATCTCAAAAAAAAAAAAAAAAAAAAAAAAAACCCAGCAACTCACTTATTTTCTTACCATCTACAGGCCAGAAACCAGAAATCAGTTTCACTCAGCTAAAGTCAAGGTGTTCCAAGGCCAGCTCCTTCTGGCTGCTCTGGGGGAGAATCTATTTCCTTGCCTTTCCTACCTTCTGGAGACCACGGGCATTCCAGGGCTGGTGACCCCTTCCTCTGACCTCCTGCTTCCATTGTCACCTCTTCCACTGTCTGCTTCTCTGTTAGCAGGATTATCTCCTTTTTATAAGAACATTTATGTTTACAGAGAAGCCCACCCAGATAATCCAGAACACTCTGTCTCAAGATCTTAATTTAATCACATTTGCAAAATCCCTTTTGCGATATAAGATAACATTCACAGGCTCTAATGATTAGTCCCTGCTTATTTTCGGGAGCCATTATTCTGCCTAGCATACCTATCTTTTTCTACCTCAGCCTTTCAGATGCAGCTTAAACATTTCTTCTTTTCTGGGAAATTTTCTAACATCCTATTCCCTCCCCAATCCCATTACTTCCTCCAGCAATTCCCACTGAGTACCTCACTAATACAACTGTCTGGGTTTGCTTGGGACTAAGGGGGTTCCCAGAACACAAGACTTTCAGTGTTAAAACCAGAAAACTGCCAGACAAACCAGGATGAGTTAGTTACCCTAAGTCCTCACCTTTCTTTCCACATCACCCTCTTTGTAGCACTCAGCACGTGGGATTGTAAGTTAGAATTCTCAGTTCTCTTGCCTTTCTCCTCTGCAAGGCTATGGGTGGGAATGTTTCTTTTGTGTTTCTGATGCTCATGCCTTCGTTTCTGGCATGTGGCAGATGCTCCGTAAAGTGAATGGAGTTTGTGGAGCAGCCCTGCAACAGCAGACAATCTAGGCAAAGTGGAAATTTTCCGCCCTGTGACTAGAACAAAAAACCAAAATGAAACAGAACATTAAACACCGGTATGATGTGCTATGTTCTCTTGGGCACTTTTTTCTTTGATTTTCTCATCTATACTTGCAAATTTGAGTAAAATTAGACACAGTTCTTTGCAAGAACCCAAATATTCGCAGTCCTTGACAGAACACACTGTCTTCAAACAAACAGAGGCTCTACTATTTATAGCTGATTGCTTCACCGCTTGTCTTGCCTGTTTTTTAGAATGCCCTTTGCCACGAACAAAGCAGATTGAAAATAGATGTGGGGCCAGGTTCTGGGAGTCTTCTAACATTTCTTTATTCTCTTAAACACTGATAAAATTGACCCATTCTTGGAATTTGCCTCCTGAATGCTGCAGCAGCTGGAGCACCAGACATGTGACTCTCTTTGATATCACTTCTGTCTGTGTGCCCTCCAGCCAACTTTGTTTACCTCTACAAAAGTGCCCTTGAACAAAGGTGCCCTGCAACTTAGAGTTAATGGAAAAGCAACTGAGGTAAACATTAAAAAGTGAGACTCAGACAAAGACATCATTTAACCAGAGCCATCGATTCCACAGTCCCAGTTCAGAGAAAAATCATTTCTATTGTTGAGTAGGGAATAAATTTATGCCCAAAAGCCAAGTGTGCCTATAATGCTTATGAACAACCACATGAATGGAAACCCTGGACAGAATGAGGGACCAGAAGGAATTAAATTCACATCTTCTGTCGCCCACATTTAAAAAGAGAGAAACTAGGAAATTGAAACCTATTTATGTTATGCATCTGCAAAAACAGAAGCTGTGTAAGAAGTTACTCCTAATGAATGAGAAAATAAAACGTGAAACTTTAAAATGAGAATCAATTATATTTTATCAGTATATTTCCAGATCTTTAATAATGAGCTATGCCTTCCATACAGAATTGAATCACATCAATCAAAGTGAAGAACTCAGCACAAAAGCAATTAGAGGGAAATATTTGGAAGACTACAAAAACATAGTGTTGTAGATAAAAGTAAATATATTATTTTGGTTTGGAAAAATATTTCAAACTCTACTTAAGGTTTATAAATCCTTTCTGTAATTCATGATAAAGGGGGAAGCTCTTGATTATTATCCTCAAGACATACACATATCATGTCTACGTGAATGAATCTGAAAACTGTCTGAATGAGGATAACTCCAGAGGTCACGACAGATGAATGACTCATCTACCCAAATGCAGCCACCAGAGCCCTGATTTGAACCCTGGGCATACAGCTTTTTAAACACACCCCAGCATTTGCCTGCAAATGTGTCCTCACAGCTATAATTTCACTTCCAAACTCACTAAAGAGTCATCTATCAATGCACTACTGACTGGTTTTTACACATACTGAGTTGCAAAGCAGTATTTTAAAACCAGCTATGTAAGAAAACCCATATTTCCCTAGCTTTATGTGCTCTAGAGCTATAAGGACATAAAGCTAATGGAAATAAGAAGGAAAAGCAAACGTCCCCTTCCTCCTTCCATCGGATCTGGCTTTCTGGTCACCGTGTTTTATCAGATTAAAATGTAAAATGAGACTAGTAAAGCTGATTTAAATAATCTCTCTCTATCTAACCATGAGAAAAATTGGAAGGCCCAACTAAGGTCGTGTTAAATGTTAACCTCTGCCAGGAATTGAGGCTGAAGTTTCACCAGCAGAACAGGAAGTTGCATTCTATAACTGCAGTCAACTTGCCTCTATTGTCTTTACAGAGCACCAGATAACGTTAAAAATTCAAAATTGCTAAAACACCACAAATAACTTCTTTCTCTGTCTTCATGACATATTTTATGTTTTCTTTTTATTTTTTGTCTTTCTGACCCTCTAACTAAGTTGATATTTTACTTCTCGAGTCCCTAAGACCTTACTTTATAGCTTCAGAATTTTAGAGTCAGAAGGGGTCATAATCTAAGGTTCCTGAGAAGGCTATAACCTTAGGGGGTGAAAAAGAGAGAAAATATATTTAAATAAGTTTTGTTATCTGATAAACTTACTGACTTGTTTTCCCTTTTATCACAGACTGGATAGAACTTTGTCTAAAATGAACACTGATCCACAGACTATAGCTTGGGAACCCCTGATCTAATTTCATCCCCTAACTGTCAGCTAAAGAAATTAAAACTCAGGGTCACTTGGCCAAGATCACAGAGTTCATTGCTTTTGAAGGGAGCCAGGCTTTAGACACTCAAGTCTCTTGACTGTGTAGTGTGTATTCTATCATACAGGCACCACCCCCCGCCAACTCCCTACCCACAAATAAAGCTAATGCTACCATTTTTATATACCACTCATGGTAATCTGCAAAATTAAGTGAAATTATAATGTATTTTAAGCCAAACATATAATTTGATTATAAAAATTAAGACTTTATTCTAGACCTATAATTATAAAATTAAAATTATAATTCCATAATTTTATAAATTCTCATGTTCACAAACAATGTAACAATGTCATGCAATGGAATAATTTCATCCAAATTGCAGATGATGCCAAATTAATGCTTTACAACTATTTTATTATGAAGTTAATTAAAAAGCATTATATAAAACTATGTGGACATAATTATCTCAAAAATGAAAAGGAATATTAAAATATATGTCTAGTTAAAAGATTTAAAGATAATATTCCAAAATAACAATGGTTATGTCTGATAGTAATATTCTGGATACTTTTTTTCTTTTGAATGTTTCTATAATTTCACTCTTTTTAAAAATATTCATCTTTTCTTTTGTAATGATAAGAATCGACTACATTTTTAAGTCCAAAGAATAAAAATAAATCCAATATCGTGTTTGTGTATGTTATGCCAACATGCTTTTTTTTTTTTTTAAGTAACACAGACGTGTTCATTCAAATAAGTTGACATTTTCATCTTGGTTAGCTGGTTTGATGAAAGTCCAAATCACATGCCAATGAGTAAACTCACTAGCCCATATGACCCAGCTCTGAAAAAGAAAGGCATATAATTTTGTTTCACAAACATTGAGAAGCAGCAACTTTTGGGGTGGGAGGGGTGCTAGAAACATCCTTTGACCAACATTTATGTGAAATGCATGTGCCAGAAATTATAATGACAGAAAAAGGAATTTGATGTCAAACATTTTAGTAAATTACAATATGTACTCTAGAAACACTTCCACTAGAAGGAAAACATCCATTTGACTGAATGTGTAATTTCTATTTTTATAATACAATGTAGGCAGATTACTACAAAAAGTGTATGCAACCATGTGAAGTTTAAAGCTTAAATATAAATAATTAGTATCTAGCTTGTTTATGGGTTAATAAAACTTTAGAAATCAATTAGAGAAATCATACATTTAATTTCACTTTCGACAATTAAATATGTTAAATTTTTTAAAAAGCTAAAACAAAATTTTGCAAGGATAAAAATGAAATTAATACTGTCAAATTCTTTTCTGGCTTCATCTGATATTAAACATTAAACAGATGCCTGGCCTGTTTAAAAAAAAAAAAAAATCTTGGATCACAGAAATAAATAGCCTCTGAGAGAATTAAATGGGTTTTTAAAAATGTATTATTCATTTTAACTTTTATGTCAAAATCATTAAAAAACATATACAGGACATAATAATAGATAAGGGTGACAACAATTGAGATTATAGATGGTCTCTAATTTATGAAGGTTCAACTTAGATTTTTCTACTTTACAATGGTGCCAAAACCATATGCCTTCAGTACACTCCTCAACTTATGATGTGGTTACCTCTGGATAAACCCATTGTAAGTGGAAAATACCATAAGTTGAACTTTACTTACAATATTTCCCACTTACAAGGGGGTTATCGAGATATAACCCCCTTGTAAGTGGAGGAGTATCTGTATTTGAAGGCAAGCTTCAAAAATCCAACTCAAATTGGCTTGAAGAAAATGAGAATTCATCACTTCATATAAATGAAGCAGCAAGGGGTTCTGGCTTCAGGTGTGGCTGGATCTGAGAACCCATAACAGATCTCTAGGACCTGGTCTCTTTCCATCTCCTGAATCTGCTCTTCTCTGCTTTAATTCTGTTACTTATTGTTCCTAAATGCAAACAACAGAAACCAACTATGGATAGTTTAAGCAGAAAACTAAATTTACTGAAATATTTTAGCTAGCTCACACTACCTTTGGAAAGATTTGAGAATGAAATTCGGGAACTTGTATCCAGTAACTCAACTGCAAATCAGGTTAAAAACCAACTCACTGGAGATACCATTGCCAGTATAACTGGTCCCAACAGTTCTAGTTTCAGGCACTGGATGCTCCTGCTAGAATCATTGCTATTTGTGCTTCTAGAAATGGGATAAAGCTGCTACTGCCTCCTGAGAATAAAGTCCTTATTTACCTCATTGGCTTCTGATTAAAAGTCTGACAAGAGTGGGTCTGATAGCAAATCCTAGAACACACATATACTGGAGTAAGAAAGACTCAAAGGTAAGAATCTAGCTTTTACAAAGATGTTCTCATCAGTTGGGGAATTCATCAACATAGGAAAGTTGTTCGAAGGTGCTCAGTGGCCAAAAAGAATAACAAATATATGCCACGGATTTTTCCTTAGGCATTATATGCTGCCAAATGGCTACCAGCAGCTCCAAAAGCCCCCCAGGTCCAACTCGTACAATGAGCGCATCTGTGCTTCTTCCTGCTGACCTGGCAAAACACTCGTTCCCCACTGGCTCTGACAACGTTTCATGCCCAAGTCTGAACAAATCACATGGTCAGGGGAATGTATGCCTTTGACTGGCCAGCACTGAATCACATGCCCACTCCTGGAGATGGAGACAGTGTTATCCCTACTTGAAGCATTTGAAGTACTTATTCTGAGAGCAGAGAATACAGCCCTCCAGAGAGAAACTGCTAGATAGTTTCCAAAAGAATGAATGGAAGAAAGAATAGGAGATGAGGAGGTGGGTAAAGGCAACAAATGTTTTTTACAAATATTTTGATATCCAACTTAACTTCTCAGTTCAACCAAGAAACGGAATCAAGTTTCTGGTCAGACCATGTGTTCTGATTTGGATGATCTTTGATTTGGTCATTCTAATAAAAATAATTGCAATAATAGTACTAAGAATGACACTTGTATGGTGCTAGGTTTCTCTAAGTTACATACATATAAGTTATATATATAGATAAAGTTATATATATAACTTAATTATGTTCTAACTAAATATATGTGTGTGTATATATATGTGTGTATATATGTATGTATACATATATATATATAAAATCTTCACAACCTTATGCTATATATTATTACCATCATTTTATAGATGAAAGGACTGAGACCCAGGATGTTAAATAATTTGATCAAGATCAGATCATTGGTTGAGTAGAGTAACTGGTATTTGAACCCAGGCAGTCTGACTTGAATCCATTCTCTTAACTATATAGTATAAATTCCAAAGAGAGTACATTACCTGTCACTGGTGATCTTTAAGAAGAATCTAGGTAATCGCTAAAGGGAGTTGTGAAAGATATTTTTCTATTTAAATCAAGATTGATGATATTTCTCTCCTCTCAGTTGGCTGAATGCAGAGAAGTGCCTTATGGAGAACCTACAATTACTCCCTGTGGCCCAGCAGTGTGGGTTCTGCTATCCGGGGGCAGGTCAGGCTGGGGGGACTGTATGACTCATGTTTCCCAGGCTGGCCCATGTGCTAATATGCTCTAGCTTCCTTCAAGGAAAGCTACTTCTGGATGTTTGTGGCCTGTCTGGGTGTTCGCAGTTATCCCCCACTCCAAAAATTCCCCTAGAATGCCTAAGCATTGGCCAGTGAATCCTCATCTCCACATTTCCAAGCAGCTTCTGTAGTCTGGGGCTGCTCAAAGATCTGCTGTGCATAGATAAAAAGGCTTTGCTAATCTGGTTGACCAGCCTCTCATTCCCCTCTCCTACATCCACGTGATGGCAAAGGAGGAGCCACAAATCCTTCCCAAACCTTGTACACAAATCTGTTAGTAACAATACAAATTGCACTTGAATGACAATCTACTACCAATTACATTAAACTGTCAGTTTCCACATTCACCTGTAGCAATTTTTACTTTTTCTGAACCATTCTCGTCATGTCAAATATTGAACCTGTGAGAGTAAAGTTATGTCCATATGCACTATGAGACGGGCATTGCTGACCTCTACCCAACAAATCATTGCACCTGCTTCTTCCAGCTGACAGAGCCCTGTTCTTGGGACAGGAACTGAAAATGTCAGATTCAGTTGTTTCAGCTATAAGTCCATTACTGGAAATCCTTGTTTTTTTGCAAAATTAGGCCCTAAAAATAACAGAGCTTATAGGAAAAAGAAGGGGTTGGGGGTTAAAGTAGACCTAAAAAAAAATAGTGGGTATTTCAGAATATAACTTGGACAACCCCAGGCAGGTAGTTAAGATAGCTAGAGCTACTCAGGATATAATAAAATGCATTAAAACAACATGGACTATTCATTTCTGGTTCATGTATTCACATATGGTTCATATATGTTATGCTTAAGAAGTCACTTTAAAAAGAGAAAGAAAGAAAGAACAATATGGAATGCATTCCAGAATTCTGAGACAGTGAGGCTGCTGATAGAGTCGGTATAGTGTCAGGCCTCTGAGCCCAAGCTAAGCCATTATATCCCCTGTGACCTGCACATATACATCTAGATGGCCTGAAGTAACTGAAGAATCACAAAAGAAGTGAAAATGGCCTGTTCCTGCCTTAACTGATGGCATTACCTTGTAAAATGCCTTCTCCTGGCTCATCCTGGCTCAAAAGCTCCCCTACTGAGCACCTTGTGTCCCCCACCCCTGCCCACCAGAGAACAACCCCCTTTGACTGTAATTTTCCTTTACCTACCCAAATCCTATAAAACGGCCCCACCCCTATCTCTCTTCGCTGACTCTCTTTTCAGACTCAGCCCACCTGCACTCAGGTGAAGTAAACAGCCTTGTTGTTCACACAAATCCTGTTTGGTGGTCTCTTCACACGGATGCAAGTGAAATATAGGAGGAAGTGCAACCCGCCACAGGCTTAGAGTTGTATGAGACTCAGGAGTAACAGGTGCCCTCACATAAGGGAGTGTCGGGAATAAGCATTCATTTTAAATTTTCTTTCACAAAGTTAAAAAAGTTTCCTGCCTGTACAGCTAAAGGCTTTTACTTTTCCTGCTAAACGTTATTATTAATTCTCTCTCCTGCTAGGCTGCTATATTCTGCTTTTTTGCTACACCAACACAACTTCCAGAGTATATCGACATAATTCCCCTATTTATCAATGCATGTCTGTGTACTAATTCATTTTCTGGAAATGGATGTGGCAGAACAGACTGTACCCCCTCTCCAAGCCTGCCTGCAGCAGGCAATGGCCATGTGACTTGGTTCTGACCAATGAAATAAATATAGGGAGACTGCTGAGAAAGCCTCAAGAAGAACCTCTTCCTTTCCTATTTTACATTTTGTCATATGAGGATATAATACTTGGAGCAACTGATGCCATTGTATAGCCATGGAGAGAGATACTGCTGCCACACTGATGGTGAAGAAGAGTAGGAGGAGAAGGAGGAGGAGGAGGAGGAGGGAAGGAGGAGGTGAAAAAGAAGAAAAGAGAAGAGAGGGAAGGGAAGGGAAGGGGAGGGAAAGGGAGGGAGGGAGGGCAGGGGAGGGGAGGGGAGGGAAGGGAAGAGGGGAAAAAAGGCAAGAAAAGAGGGGCCAGGTCCTTGATGACAGCATCGAGACACTGAAACAACCCTAGAACTATTTATCTCCAATTCAAACTTTTAAGCCACTTTTGGCTTTATTTTGTTTTATTTATTTTATTTTATTTTTAGAAAGACAGAACCTCACTCCATCACCCAGGCTGGAGTGCGTGATCATAACTCACTGCAGTCTTGAATTCCTGGGCTCAAGTGAGCCTCCCACCTCAGTCTCCCAACCTAGATAATTTTTTAATTTTTTGTGAAGACTGGAGTCTAGCCATGTTGCCTTGGCTGATCTTGAATTCCTGGCCTCAAGCGATCCTCCTGCCTTGGACTCCCAAAGCACTGAGATTACAGGCATGAGCCACTGTGCCAGGCAGGTCTTATTCCCTTTACCTGCAGCACGCCAATATCTCCTGCATTTCCTGTAGAGCACTATGAAAGGAAAATAAATCTTGGAATCTCAAAATAACTAAGCCAAGAGTAAAGTCAAGCTGGGAACTATGTTAGGCAGACCTGCCTCCCATTTTATTCCTAAATAAGATAGCTACAAAGATAAGAAGCTACATATCTCCCTTACAATTTGCCCACAGGAAATTCCTTGTGGACAAAGGACAGACAGAGCTCAAAATCATCCCTGTGAGGCTCACCTGAGACAAACGCATACCTGATTGCTTCCTCTGCCCTATTGTTTATGTAAAAATGCAGATTCACTAAGTCAGACTAGATTGTGCATTCAGTGGAAGGCTGATCAAGGACTCAAAAGAATGCAACCTTTTGTCTCTTATCTACTTCTAACCTGGAAGCCTTCACTTCAAGTTGTCCCACCTTCCCAGAATGAACCAATATACATCTTACACATATTGATTGATGTCTCATGTCTCCCTAAAATGTATAAAAGCAAACTGTACCCCTGGCCACCTCGGTCACATACTGTCAGGACTTCCTGAGGCTGTGTTACGGGTGTGTCCTTAACCTTGGCAAAATAAACTTTCTAAATTGACTGAGACCTGTCTCTGATATTTGGGGTTCACAGCACTCACAAATCTACTGTATTTGTTTCCTACGGGCCTGTAACAAAGTATCACAGACTGGGTGACTTAAAGAACAGAAATTTATTGTCTCACAGTTCTGGAGCCTGGAAGTCCAAGATCAAGGTGTGGGCAGGGTTAGTTCCTTCTGAGAGCTAAGAGAAAAGGATCTGTTCTAGCCTCTCTTCTTGGCTTGTAGATAGCGATCTTCTCTCTACGCCTGTTCATACCCAAATTTCCTCTTTTTGTATGAACACCAGTCATACTGCATTAGGGCCTACCCTAGTGACCTTATTTTAACTTGGTTACCTCTGTAAAGACCCTATCTCCAAATAAGGTCACATTTTGAGATACTTGGGGGAGAGGGCTTTAACATAAGAATTTGAAGGTGAGGGAGACATCATTTAACCCCAAACACCCACATAATACTCTGAGACCTGGACAAATGTATTCCCCTTTCACATACCTTTGTGAAATGTTAGTTATACAAGTCCACAATCCTTTATCTGAAGCCCTTGGGGCCAGAGGTGTTCGGGAGTTCAGAATTATCTTGATTTTTATAAAGATAATGATATTTATATATGTATATTACAGAAGAGTCTAGGGCAATACCCCATAATCAATCATATTGTAATCCAAAAATAAAATTCTAAGCCTCCCAACTGACTGAATGGATCCTTTCTCTCTGCCAAGGGCATTACGAAGTTAACCTGAAAAACTAGTTCAGACTATGATGGGAAGAGGGGACAGCCAAACATCCCTCATTATACTCTCCTCCCTTTGGAATTCAGGCACAACTGACCAGCATTAACATTAAAACAGAGATCTTAAGACTGACAAAATAGGCACTTTGTAGCAATAATATACCAAATTCCAACCTGACTCTAGTATCTCATCACATGACATATAGCAGGCCCTGAAAGAAATCTGAGTATTTTATCCCAAAATATATTTCTTTGACATATTTTGAAATGACCCTGCAAAGCTGTCTCCTACGGGAAAAATCTACATTGTATAGAGAATCCCCTTCCATTTCCAGGTCTTTTCCTGATCCAGGAGAGATTAATTAAGAGTTTGGTAACTTTTGGAGTCTAATAAGAGACATTTTCATCTATTCTTTCTGAAGGCTGCTACCTGGAGGCTTCATCTACATAGTAAGAAGCTTGGCCTCCAAAATCCCTTATCTTAACTCAGACATTCCTTTCTATTGATTCCAGTTCTTTAGCTAATAACTCTATCAACCAAGTGCTAGTCAGGAAACCTTTGAAGCTACCTATGACTTGAAAGCCTCTGCTTCAAGTTGTCCTCCCTTTCTGGACCAAGCCAACTTAGGCCTTATATATATTGATTGATGTCTGCCTGTAACTTCTGTCCCCCTAAAATGTACAAAATCAAGCTGTAATCCAACCACCTTGGGCACATGTTCTCAGGACCTCTTGAGACTGTGCCTCGGGCCTTGGTTATTCATATTTGGCTTAGAATAAATCCTTTCAAATATTTTACAAAGTTTGACTCTTTTTCATCCACAATGTTAACCTTATTGCAGTAAAACAAAGAAATATTCCCGCTACACAAGAGAAAGACTATGAAAACCTTCACAGTAATTCAGGTCAGGTTTTGCTATCAAATGAATTTTTAAAAATGTTTGTTTTCATGCTTTCATAATTTCAGAATTGTAGATAAGGGATTTTGGACCTGAATTGCCTACTCTCTGTCACTTGAAACCTTACTCAATTTCTAAGTTTGCCCAACCTTTCTTCCCTGAGCTTTTCCTCCTTCTCTCCTTTCTTCTATGACTAGTTGTTCCATTTCCTGTCTCCTTATCTTCTTTCCTTCCCAAGACTTTTAGAAGAACAGTTAATTTTTCGTTGATGCCCTTACCAATCTGCACAAGCAAATTTAAGTAGAAACATCTGTACATCCCTTATGTCAGGCCTCTGAGCCCAAGCCAAGCCATCGCGTCCCCTGTGACTTGCACGTATACACGCCCAGATGGCCTGAAGTAACTAAAGAATCACAAAAGAAGTGAATATGCCCTGCCCCACCTTAACTGATGACATTCCACCACAAAAGAAGTGTAAATGGCCGGTCCTTGCCTTAAGTGATGACATTACCTTGTGAAAGTCCTTTTCCTGGCTCATCCTGGCTCAAAAAGCACTCCCACTGAGCACCTTGCGACCCCCACTCCTACCCGCCAGAGAACAACCCCCTTTGACTGTAATTTTCCTTTACCTACCCAAATCCTATAAAACGGCCCCACCCCTATCTCCCTTCACTGACTCTCTTTTCGGACTCAGCCCACCTGCACCCAGGTGATTAAAAGCTTTATTGCTCACACAAAGCCTGTTTGGTGGTCTCTTCACACAGACGCGCATGAAATTTGGTGCCGTGACTTGGATCGGGGGACCTCCCTTGGGAGCTCAATCCCCTGTCCTCCTGTTCTTTGCTCGGTGAGAAAGATCCACCTACGACCTCAGGTCCTCAGACTGACCAGCCCAAGGAACATCTCACCAATTTTAAATCAGGTAAGCAGCCTCTTCTTACTCTCTTCTCCAACCTCTCTCACTGTCCCTCAACCACTTTCTCCTTTCCACTCTTCACTCTCCCTTCTCTTAATTTCAATTCCTTTCATTTTCTGGGAGAGACAAAGGAGACATGTTTTATCCGTGGACCGAAAACTCCGGCGCCGGTCACGGACTGGGAAGGCAGCCTTCCCTTGGTGTTTAATCAATGCAGGGACGCCTCTCTGATTATTCACCCACATTTCAAAGGTGTCAGACCACGCAGGGACGCCTGCCTTGGTCCTTCACCCTTAGCGGCAAGTCCCACTTTTCTGGGAAAGGGGCAAGTACCCCAACCCCTTCTCTCCTTGTCTCTACCCCTTCTCTGCTTTTCTGGGGGAGGGGCAAGTACCCCTCAACCCCTTCTCCTTCACCCTTAGCAGCAAGTCCCGCTTTTCTGGCGGAGGGGCAAGTACCACAACCTCATATCTCTGCGCCCCAATCCCTTATTTCCGTGCCCCAACCTCTTATATCTCTGCACCTCAACCCCTTATTTCTGTGCCCCAACCCCTTATTTCCATGCCTCGACCCCTTATTTCTGCGCCCCATCCCTTATTTCCATGCCCTGACCTCTTATCTCTGTGCCCCAACCCCTTTTCCCACTTTTCTGGAAAGTAAGAACCCCCAAACCCCTTCCCTCTGTTTCTCTACTCTCTCTTTTCTCTAGGCTTGCTTCCTTCACTATAGGCAAGCTTCCACCCTCCATTCCTCCTTCTACTCCCTTGGCCTGTGTTCTCAAAAACTTAAAACCTCTTCAACTCATACCTGACCTAAAACCTAAATGCCTTATTTTCTTCTGCAATGCCGCTTGACCCCAATACAAACTCAACAGTAGTTCCAAATAGCCAGAAAATGGCACTTTGAATTTTTCCATCCTGCAAGATCTAAATAATTCTTGTCGTAAAATAGGCAAATGGTCTGAGGTGCCTGACGTCCAGGCATTCTTTTACACATCAGCCCCTTCCTAGTCTCTGTGCCCAGTGCAACTCGTCCCAAATCTTCCTTCTTTCCCTCCCGCCTGTCCCCTCAGTATCAACCCGAAGCGTCGCTGAGTCTTTCTAATCTTCCTTTTCTACAGACCCATCTGACCTCTCCCTTCCTCCCCAGGCTGCTCCTCACCAGGCCGAGCTAGATCCCAATTCTTCCTCAGGCTCTGCTCCTCCACCCTATAATCCTTTTATCGCCTCCCCTCCTCACACCTGGTCTGGCTTACAGTTTCGTTCCGTGACTAGCCCTCCCCCTCCTGCCCAGCAATTTACTCTTAAAAAGGTGGCTGGAGCTAAAGGCATAGTCAAGGTTAATGCTCCTTTTTCTTCATCCCAAATCAGAAGCGTTTAGGCTCTTTTTCATCAAATATAAAAATCCAGCCCAGTTCATGACTTGTTTGGCAGCAACCCTGAGACGCTTTACAGCCCTAGACCCTAAAAGGTCAAAAGGCCGTCTTATTCTCAAAATACATTTTATTACCCAATCTGCTCCCAACATTAAATAAAACTCCAAAAATTAAATTCCGGCCCTCAAACCCCACAACAGGATTTAATTAACCTCGCCTTCAAGGTGTACAATAATAGAAAAAAGTTGCAATTCCTTGCCTCCACTGTGAGACAAACCCCAGCCACATCTCCAGCACACAAGAACTTCCAAACGCCTGAACCGCAGCGGCCAGGCGTTCCTCCAGAACCTCCTCCCACAGGAGCTTGCTACATGTGCCGGAAATCTGGCCACTGGGCCAAGGAATGCCCGAAGCCCGGGATTCCTCCTAAGCTGCGTCCCATCTGTGTGGGACCCCACTGAAAATCGGACTGTTCAACTCACCTGGCAGCCACTCCCAGAGCCCCTGGAACTCTGGCCCAAGGCTCTCTGACTCCTTCCCAGATCCTCTCGGCTTAGCGGCTGAAGACTGACACCGCCCGATCGCCTCGAAAGCCCCCTAGACCATCACGGACGCCGAGCTTCAGGTAACTCTCACGGTGGAAAGTAAGCCCATCCCCTTCTTAATCAATACGGAGGCTACCCACTCCACATTACCTTCTTTTCAAGGGCCTGTTTCCCTCGCCTCCATAACTGTTGTGGGTATTGACGGCCAGGCTTCTAAACCTCTTAAAACTCCCCAACTCTGGTGCCAACTTAGACAATACTCTTTTAAGCACTCCTTTTAGTTATCCCCACCTGCCCAGTTCCCTTATTAGGCTGAGACACTTTAACTAAATTATCTGCTTCCCTGACTATTCCTGGACTACAGCTGTATCTCATTGCCTCCCTTCTTCCCAATCCAAAGCCTCCTTTGCATCCTCCTCTTGTATCCCCCCACCTTAACCCACAAGTATAAGATACCTCTATTCCCTCCTTGGCGACCAATCATGCACCCCTTACCATCTCATTAAAACCAAATCACCTTTACCCCACTCAACGCCAATATCCCATCCCGCAGCAAGCTTTAAAAAGATTAAAGCCTGTTATCACTCGCCTGCTACAGCATGGCCTTTCAAAGCCTATAAACTCTCCTTACAATTCCCCCATTTTATCTGTCCTAAAACCAGACAAGCCTTACAAGTTAGTTTAGGATCTATGCCTTATCAACCAAATTGTTTTGCCTATCCACCCCATGGTGCCAAACCCATATACTCTCCTATCCTCAATACCTGCCTCTACAACCCATTATCCTGTTCTATATCTCAAACATGCTTTCTTTACTATTCCTTTGCACCCTTAATCCCAGCCTCTCTTCGCTTTCACTTGGACTGACCCTGACACCCATCAAGCTCAGCAAATTACCTAGGCTGTACTGCCACAAAGCTTCACAGACAGCCCCCATTACTTCAATCAAGCCCAAATTTCTTCCTCATCTGTTACCTATCTCGGCATAATTATCATAAAAACACATGTGCTCTCCCTGCCAATCGTGTCCAACTGATCTCTCAAACCCAAGCACCTTCTACAAAACAACAACTCCTTTGCTTCCTAGGCATGGTTAGCGCGGTCAGAATTCTTACACAAGAGCCAGGACCGCACCCTGTAGCCTTTCTGTCCAGACAACTTGACCTTACTGTTTTAGCCTAGCCCTCATGTATGCATGCAGCGGCTGCCGCTGCTTTAATACTTTTAGAGGCCCTCAAAATCACAAACTACGCTCAACTCACTCTCTACAGTTCTCATAACTTCCAAAATCTATTTTCTGCCTCATACCTGATGCATATACTTTCTGCTCCCCGGCTTCTTCAGCTGTACTCACTCTTTGTTGAGTCTCCCACAATTACCGTTGTTCCTGGCCCAGACTTCAATCCGGCCTCCCACATTATTCCTGATACCACACCTGACCCCCATGACTGTATCTCTCTGATCCACCTGACATTCACCCCATTTCCCCAAATTTCCTTCTTTCCTGTTCCTCACCCTGATCACGCTTGATTTATTGATGGTGGTTCCACCAGGCCTAATCACCACACACCAGCAAAGGCAGGTTATACTATAGTACAAGCCACTAGCCCGCCTCTTAGAACCTCTCATTTCCTTTCCATCGTGGAAATCTATCCTCAAGGAAATCACTTCTCAGTGTTCCTCAAGGAAATAACTTCTTATATGATGCAGCATATTCATTAAACAAGTGGTTTCCCATGCTTGGGAAACCATATGTCCAAGATTCAAGGGCTGGAGGTGAGAATGGACTTTATTATACCAAATATTTGTTTTGGGGAATGTTTTCTTCCCATCCATGCAATCTTGGATTCTGTGGGTTTATAGTAACAGAAGGAGAAACGAATCCCTAAGGGAATACAATAATAGTTCCATTGAATTAGAAACTGAGATTGCCCACTGGCCATTTCAGGCTGATGAAGCAAAGACAGAGAAGAGCTTATTGCATGTACTGGCTGGGTGATTGATCCTGATTACCAAGGAGAAACAAATGTGCAGTGGGGGTGAGGAGGATTATTTATGGAACCCCAGTGGGGTTTGTGGCTACTTAGGACTTTATTACCCCACGGCCCTTGGCAATAGAAAATTGTGGCAGTGTAGTAAAGATAGGACCACCAAATGGCTCAGCTCCTGTAGGACTAAAGTTTGACTCAGGCAATCAGGTTAAAAATCCATTCAACCAAGATACTTTCATAGAATAAGGAAACATGAAATGGGCATTGGAAGAAAGATGCTGTGGTTAACAACTTAGACATACTAACCAGTTACAGAAGCAGAGATTTTAACAGCTATGGCCTCTGATCATTGTTTCTTATCCCCATGTTTCCTCCCACTCCTTTTATGAAGAGCACTGCTGATGGCTAACATTTTTAGGTTGCAAGTGTTCTGGCCTTGAAGATATGGTAACTGGTTGGGAACACAAAGTTGTCACCTAGGCAAAGGATGAGAGTGGATGTCAAGAAGCAAGGCTATGCTGGATCCTTTCTGCTGTTCTACCAGATCCATCCTCCACCGTCATCTATCATTGTCTGTGTGGATCTTGATCAACGGACTTTGCCTCTGGCTCCTGATTGGGTTTGCCCAATGGGAAGCAGAAGAGAGTGAAGTTGTGGCTCCTTCTTTTCACAGAGCTGCAGGTTGGCCATGCCCATTTCCTCCAGTCTACAGCCCTTTTCCGCTGGAATTCACCACCTAACAACTTCCTCGGGTTTAGATAGCCACTGAACTATCTTACCCCTTCAGGGTTAAGGGGTAATGGGTTCCCCTCTATTAGTAGCCAGTGGGTAATTAACTATCTCTGGTTTGTTCCTTAAAACCTGCCCATAATAGTCTCTTTAAATAATTCTCCTCAAATTACCTGGCCTGAGTATGTCCCACTGGAATTTTGATTAATGCACATTCTTAGTTTGTTCTTTACAACCACTCAATGGCATAGATGGGTATGTGATGTCACTTTCCTCATGCTTAAAATGTTTTAGTGCCTTGTAATTGTAATTGAAATAAAATCCAAAGAGTATGGTTTGCAAGGCCATAGTTGACCTGGTGTCTGCCTCCCTCTCCAAGCCAATCTCTCCCCTCTCTCCTTCAATCCTGTTTCACAAAGTCGTGTTAAGATCCCCGGTAGCTCTTTCTCTTGAGGTGCTCATCCCCGAGATCTTCCTGCCTGTACTTCAAATTTCAATTGAAATATCACCTCCTTAGAGTCTTTCCCTAGTTATTCAGTCAAAAGCAGTCATCTAAACACCGTCACATTATCTTATGTTAACTCTTCTCACAGGACTTAATAACAAGCAATTAACACTTGCTGATATTTTCTTGTCTATTTTTATACCTTTAATCATCTATCAATCATGTCTTTCTTCCTTCCTTCCTTCCTCCCTTCCTCCATTCCTCCCTCCCTCCCTCTGTCTCTTTTTTCTTTCTCTTTCTTTCTCTTTCTTTCTTTCTTTCTTTTCTTTCTTTCTTTCTTTCTTTCTTTCTTTCTTTCTTTCTTTCTCTCTTTTTCTTTCTTTCTTTCTTTCTTTCTTTCTTTCTTTCTCTCTTTCTTTTCCTTCTCTCTCTCTCTCTCCCTTTCTCTTGCTTTCTTGCATTCTTTCTGGCTTTCTTGTTTTCTTTCTTGCTTTCTTGCTTTTTTTTCACGGGGTCTCATTCTGTTGCCCAGGCTGGAGTCTGAAGTGCAGTGGTGTGATCATGGCTCACTGCAGCCTTGACCTCCCTGGGGTCAGGTGATGCTTCTGCCTCAGCCTCCCAAGTAGCTGGGACTACAGGTGTGTACCACCATGCCCAGCTAATTTGTGTGTGTGTGTGTGTGTGTGTGTGTGTGTGTTTGTAGAGGCAGGGTTTCACTGTGTTGTCCAGGCTGGCCTTAAACTCCTGGGCTCAAGTGATTCTCCCACCTCGGCTTCCCAAAATGCTGAGATCACTGGCATGAGCCACTGCACCTGGCCCCACTATTTCTTTAGATGAAAAATTTCCTGAGGACTAGCTTTTAATATTTGTTGATATTAAATTAAAAAGCAGGGATTAGCTCCATCCTATAGAGAAGGTAACAGGAGTTCAGAGGTTACAGTTATTAGTGTCAGAATCAGCACCTCTGACTTCTGATATCCATATACCAGAGTCTATTCCTCATCTGATTTCCCAAGCCTAAAAATGTTGTGGGAAAGGCATGTAATCAATCTAAGTGTCTATCAATGAATGAATGGATAAAGAAAATGTGGTATATATACACAATGAAATAATCAGCCGTAAAAACGTAAAATGCCATTTGCAACCATCATGGGTCAACCGAAAGGATATTATGTTAAATGAAATCAGCCAGACACAGAAAAACATATGTCTCATGATCTCACTGATATGTGGAATCTAGAGAAGCTGATCTCGTAGAAGTAGAGAGCAGTGGTAACAGTGGTTACTGGTGGGATGGTTGGCGGGGAGGAGAGATGGGAAGAAGTTGGTCAAAGGATACATAATTATACTTGGATAGGAAGAATAAATTTTAAGAGAACTATTTTATGACAAGGTGACTGTAGTTAATGATGATATAATGTATTCTTGAAAAAAATGTAAAGACAGTGGACGTTATGTGCTCTTAACACAAAAATTATAATGATGTTATGTAATGCGTCTTGTTAATTAGCTAGATTTAGCCATTCCACAATGCATATGTACTTCAAACCATCATGTTGTATCTGATAAAAACATGCAATGTACTCTGTCAATTTTAAAAAGTAAATTTTAAAGGTGTAGGAGAAAAATAAAATTAAAATGCTATGGGAGATGAAATACTAGGAGGTAGTGAGCACACCTTAACTTATGTGAGACGAAACTCCTGGAAAAATAATGGGGAGCCTTCTATCTTCTTAGCCCATTGCTAGATTTAGAAATGAATTGTTCTCTGATACTAAATTACCACTCCCAAAAAGGAACACAAAGCTGTTGAGCAATTCAGTAAGATATTAAGAAGATGTTCCATGATTTAGCAGCCAAAATAACTTTGTTAAATATTTGGTTAATGTCTCTTTACTGTTCTAGGAATTCCTAGAGCCTTTAATATGTTTCTTGTGAAGCAGGCAGATGTACTATGCAAAGCTACTCCAACTGATTAGAATAGAAAATACTTTTATGAGAATCCTATTAATACCTCATAGAACATGCATTTCCTGGACCAAAGTTGAGTAAACATGGAATTAAATCTTTAGTGATAGAGATCACATTGGCAGAACAATCTCACTACAAAGATAAATTTAATAATGAATTATGTGTAGAGAAGGAAGAGGGAGTATGTTTGTATTGGTGTCTTCTGAATTTTGTTCTTGTGTGTCATTTATTCAGTTTTGTGTGAAAGTCTTTTTCTTTCTTTTTTTAAAATTATACTTTAAGTTCTGGGGTACATGTGCAGAACATGCAGGATTGTTATAGGTATACATGTGCCATGCTGGTTTGCTGCACCCATCAACCTGTCATCTACATTAGGTATTTCCCCTAATGCTATCCCTCCCCTAGCCCCCCACCCCCCAACAGGCCCTGGTGAGTGATGTTCCCCTCCCTGTGTCCATGTGTTCTCATTGTTCAACTCCCACTTATGAGGAAGAACATGCAGTGTTTGGTTTTCTGTTCTAGTGTTAGTTTGCTGAGAATGATGGTTTCCAGCTTCATCCATGTCCCTGCAAAGGACATGAGCTCATTCTTTTTTATGGCTGCATAGTATTCCATGGTGTATATATGCCACATTTTATTTATCCAGTCTGTTATTGATGGACATTTGGGTTGGTTCCAAGTCTTCGCTATTGTGAATAGTGCCGCAATAAACATATGTGTGCATGTATCTTTATAGTAGAATGATTTAAAATCATTTGGGTGTATATCCAGTTATAGGATTGCTGGGTCAAATGGTATTTCTAGTTCTAGAACCTTGAGGAATCGCTACACTGTCTTCCACAATGGTTGAACTAATTTACACTCCCAACAGTGTAAAAGTGTTCTTATTTCTCCACATCCTCTCCAGCATCTGTTGTTTCCCGACTTTTTAATGATTGCCATTCTAACTGGTGTGAGTCTTTTCCTTTCTTTCAAGTATGTGTCTGCCAAGTTTTTATTTCCCTCATCAAACCGTGTATTATTTCTGACTATTCTGGTAGAAATGTTGAAACATTTTTAAGCCTATTGCAAATGTCTTCTGTCCAGATCCAGATAATTTCTAAAGGAGTCTGATCGATGCCTCATTACTGCCAGGGCAGCCTGCACTGCTGTAGTTTGTAGCCTATTTGCTTATAGTATGAATTATGTCATTAAGCAGACTTAAGGTATAAAAAGTTGAGTGACAAAGGTGTTTCAATGAGAAAAAAGGGACTTCAACTAGAATGTAAAGGGCACAAGAATAAAGTCAAGGAAGGAAGGGAGGAGGGAGAGAGGAAAGGAGGGAGGGAGGGAGGAAAGGAGAGAGGAAGGGAGGGAGGGAGGGAAGGACAAGGACACAGGCTAAACTTGCTAAAATGCTGGGATAATTGGCACGGAGAGGTGCTATTGCTGGAGAAAGCAAGTTAGATGGTCACCCTATTTATGCCATTTTTAGCTATTCTGCTCATTGGTATGTACTTAATAGAAATATGTGCACATGTGAAACAAGAGAAATATACAAGAATGTTTAAAGCAGCATTATTTATAATAGACCTAGAGTGGAAATGACTAAAATAGGCATCAACAGTAGAATGGAATACCATGTAGCAATAGAAAAGAATAAACTACAGCTACATGCTACAACATAGATATATCTCAAAGCATAATATTAATTTCCTTTAATATAAATGTCAAGAACAGGCAAAATTAAATTATAATGTTAGATATAATAATCACCTTTGAGGCTGGTGTAAGTGATTGATTAAGATAGTTTCAAGGGACTTCTGTGGTGCTGGCAATATTTTATTTCATTATTTTAATGTGGTAAAAACCATAAAATTTACTATCTCAACCATTTTTAAGTGTACAGCATAGTAATGCTAACTATAGCTCATTGTTTTGACAGGTTTCTTGAACTTTTCATCTTGCAAAACTGACTCTATACCCACTGGTCAAGTGATCTTCAACAAGGGCACTGAGACTATAAAGTGGGGAAAGAATATTTTCTTCAACAAATGGTATTGAGAAAACTGAATATCTATGTACAAAAGAATGAAGTTGGACTCTTACATTATACCATATTTTAAAATGAAGTCAAAATGGGATTAAAGATCTGAAACTTTAAAACTCCTAAAATAATAGGGAAGAATCTTTACAAAGCTGAATTTGGCAATGATTTATTGGCTATGACACCAAAAGCACAAGCAATGAAAGCAAAAATAGACAAATGGAACTACATCAAACTAAAAAGCTTCTGCACAGCAAAGAAAGCAATCAACAGAGTGAAAAGACAATTTATGGAATAGGATAAAATATTTGCAAATCATATATCTGGGAAGGAGTCAATATCAAGAATATATGAAGAACACCTGTAACTTAACAACAAAAATAACCCAACTTAAAAAATTGGCAAAGGACTTATATACATATTTCTCCATAGAAGATATACAAATGCCCAAAAAGCATATGAAAAGGTGTTCAACATCACTAATTATTTAGAAAACGCATGTCAAAGCCACAGTGAGATATCACTTTATACCTATTAGCATGGCTGCTATTTAAAAAACAAAAACAACAACAAAAACAAACAAAAAAAAAACAAAAACAGAAAATAACAAGGGCTGGCAAGAATGTGGAGAAATTGGAACCCCTGTGCACTGTTAGTGGTGATGCAAAATGGTTCAATCCCCATGAAAATATATCTCTGGACTCTATTCTGGTCCACTGGTCTGTATGTCTGTCTTTACATCAATACCATACTGTTTTGATTGCAGTAGCTTTGGAATATGTTTTGTAATCAGGAAGTGTGAGGATTCTGGTTTTCTCATTTCTCTTAGGATTGTTTTGACTATATGGCTTCTTTTGAGATTTCATATGAATTTGAGAATTTTTTATTTTTAAAAATTCCATTGAAATTTCATAGGGATGGCATCGAATCTGTAGATTACTTTACATAGTTTGCATATTTTAATAATATTAAGTCTTGCAATCTGTGAAAATAGGATGTTTTTTCATTGATTTGTGTCTTCTTTAATTTCTTTCAGCAATGTGGTGTAGTTTTTAGTGTATAAGTCTTTCACCTCTTTGCATAAGTTTATTCCTAAGTATTATATATTTTTGATGCTATAATAAATGAATTTTTTTCTTAATTATCTTTTAAGGTTGTTCATTGTTAATGTATAGAAATGCAACTGATTTTTGTGTGTTGATTTTGTATCTTGCAACTTTGCTGAATTCATTTATTAGCTTAAACAGCTTTTTTTGTGGAGTTCTTACAGGTCTCTACAAATATGGTCAGAGGCGTTCGAACTAGAGTGACTCCATCTTGAATAGGGGGTGGGTAAAATAAGACTGAGACCTACTGGGCTGTGTTCCCAGGAGATTAAGCATTCTTAGTCACAGGATGAGAAAGGAGGTCAGCACAAGATACAAGTTACAAAGACCTTGCTGATAAAACAGGATGAGGTAAAGAAGCTGGCCAAAACTCACCAAAACCAAGATGATGATGAACGTGACCTCTAAACGTCCTCACTGCTCATTATATGCCAATTATAATGTATTAGCATATTAAAAGGCACTCCCACCAGCGCCATGACAGTTCACAAATGCCATGGCAATGACTGGAAGTTACCCTCTATAGTTTAAAAACAGGAGGGACCCTCAGTTCTGAGAAATCTCTGTCCCTTTCCCAGAAAACTCACGAATAATCCACCCCTTGTTTAGCATAAAATCAAGAAATAACTATAAATATATCCAGTTGAGCAACCCATACTGCTGCTCTGCCTATGGAGTAGCCATTCTTTTGTTTCTTTAGGTTTTTAATAAACTTACTTTCACTTTACTCTTTGAACTCGCCCCAAATTCTTTCTTGTGCAAGGTCCAAGAACCCTTTCCTGGGTTCTGGATCAGGATCCTTTTCCAGTAACAATGTCATCTGCGAACAGATAATTTTATTTCTTCCTTTTCAATTTAGATACCTTGTATTTCTTTTTCTTTCCTAATTGTTTTTGCCTAATTGCTAGGACTGCCAGTACTATGTTGAATAGAAGTGGAGAGAGTGGACATTCTTGCCTTGTTCCTGATCTCTTATATGAAAAGCTTTCAGTCTTTCATTATTGAGTATGATGCTAGCTGTGGGCTTTTCATATATGGCCTTTATTTTGTTGAGGTAAAGTATCTCTATTTCTAGTTTGTTGAGTGTTTTTATAATAAAAAGGCATTAAAATTTTGTCAAATGCTTTTTGTGTCAATTGAGATGATTATGTAATTTTTATCCTTTCTTCTGTTAATGTGGTTTATTACACTGATTGGTTTTTATATGTTGAATAACCCTTGCCTCTTAGAGATAAAACCCACTTAGTCATGGTGTGTAATCCTTTTAAGGTACATTTGAACTCTGCTAGAATTTTATTCAGAATTTTTGCATTAATATTTATCATGGATATTGAACCTCATAGTATTCTTTTCTCATAGCAGATTGATCTGGCTTTGCTATCAGGTTAATTTTGGGCTCAGAGAATAAGATTGGGTTTTGCCTCCTCTTTAATTTTCTGGAAGAGCTTGAGAAGGATTGGTGTTAACCTTTCTTTAAATATTTGGTAGAATTTTCCAATGAAACCATCTGGTCCTTGTCTTTTCTTTTCTGGGAGGTTTTTGATTACTGATTCAGTCTCCTTACTGGTTATAGGTTTGTTCAGACTTTTTATTTCATGATTAAATCTTGGTAGATGGCATTTTTCTAGTAATTTATCCATTTTTTTCTAGGATATCCACTTGGTATAAAATAAAATATTTCCTGTCATATGCAAAACAACTTTCATTTCATTCTTGAGTGGTGCTTACTTCTGATCACAATTGTGTATAACAGAGATGTCCAATCTTTTAGCTTCCCTGGGCCACACTGAAAGAAGAGTTGTCTTGGGCCACACATAAAACACACTAACACTAATGATAGCTGATGAGCTAAAAAAAAAAAAAATCACAAAAAAAATCTCATAATGTTTTAAGAAAGTTTACGAATTTGTGTTGAGCCACATTCTAAGCCGTCCTGGGTCACATACAGCCTGCAGGCCACAGGTTGAACAAGCTTGGTGTATAACCAAGTGCACTCTTAGAAAAATTTGAACATTTTAAAACCAAACTGCCTAATGAAAACCCCTATTATTCAAGAAGTGTCTATATAATATTTAATTTTTTCTAATTTAGCATAGACCATCAGTTAAAATTAAGAGAAACACAAGTATAACTATCAAACACACCCATGAAAAAAATCTCAGAGTAATAATTTGATTTTTGTTTGACTATTTTGTCTGTTTGCAAAGTAATGTGATAGATTTTCAGTAATTTATTGAGTCACTTTCTCAGTCATCAAGTTGTTATTGCATTTATCAGACTAAGAAGTCACTTCTTAAAGGCAGTTGTAATTACATTGTAGATGCAAAATAAAATAGAGAACAACTCTATCAATCCCCTTCATACTTCCTTCCTCTCAAGAGTAAGGCTCCATTTCTTTCAGAATATCCTTTAAAAACTAATTGAATAGAAATCCATCTCCTTCCTAGCATCAGGGATTGAGAATGGGTACCACACATACTTGAAAAAAAGTGCTGTAAAACGTTTGCATTTCAAGACAAAAAACTAACCGCTGGCTGACACACCTGAGCAAAAGGCAACTCTGCCTTCCCTGTAGTAAATGTAATTTAATATAGGTCATTAGCTAAGAGAAAAGCAGCAATTTGAATTTTCAAAGTTTGATTCTCAGGGTCCTCTACTTAAGAATCACCTGGGCTGCCCATTAATGGAAAGGGCAGGGAGGGTCCCATGAATTTGCATTTCCATGGGAAGCCAGAGTTATTTTTTTCCTTTGCAGAATCTCAATAAGCTCTGGAGAATTAGATGGACAGGAAAGATTGATTCTTTTGATTATTTGTGAGAATTATTGGCAGCTCCTTAAGTGGCAGTAACATAGAGTAAATTCCTACCTCAAAAATATCTTAATAGATTTTTAGGTTCAGACCTATAAATTATTAGATATATTAGTTTTTAGATTTCATATTTCAGTTATGTTGGATTCTACTAACTCATCAATTCATGGCATTAATTCATGGTATTTCCAGAGTTCTCTAAAGTCTTTTCATATCATACTCACTTTCTATATTTCAATATGCCCCAGGAGGGCAGGAATCTTTTTGTTTGTTCACAGATGCATAACAACTACCTAAAACAATTCCTGGCTCATAGTGTTACAGTTTGGATTCACCGCTGGTAACTCAGATACCTGCCATTGGTAACAATGGCAAGTGTTCAACAAATATTTGTTGAATGAATGAATAAATGTCAGATTAAATGTCAGTTTCTCATTTTGTTGAAGCCGTAACTGTGCGCACAAAGATTCAGAAGGGATTCTTAGGATTTGAACAAGGCCAGTGGCTTTTGATTCAAGGTACTAAGGTTTCATGCACATCCGTGTGAAGAGACCACCAAACAGGCTTTGTGTGAGCAATAAAGCTTTTAATCACCTGGGTGCAGGTGGGCTGAGTCCGAAAAGAGAGTCAGTGAAGGGAGATAGGGGTGGGGCCGTTTTACAGGATTTGGGTAGGTAAAGGAAAATTACAGTCAAAGGGGGGTTGTTCTCTGGCGGGCAGGAGTGGGGGTCGCAAGGTGCTCAGTGGCGGTGTTTTCGAGCCAGGATGAGCCAGGAAAAGGACTTTCACAGGTAATGTCATCACTTAAGGCAAGGACCGGCCATTTACACTTCTTTTGTGGTGGAATGTCATCAGTTAAGGTGGGGCAGGGCATATTCACTTCTTTTGTGATTCTTCAGTTACTTCAGGCCATCTGGGCGTATAGGTGCAAGTCACAGGGGATGCGATGGCTTGGCTTGGGCTCAGAGGCCTGACATTCCTGCCTTCTTATATTAATAAGAAAAATAAAACAAAATAGTGTCGAAGTGTTGGGGCAGCGAAAATTTTTGGGGGGTGGTATGGAGAGAGAATGGGCGATGTTTCTCAGGGCTGCTTCAAGCGGGATTAGGGGTGGCGTGGGAACCTAGAGTGGGAGAGATTAAGCTGAAGGGAGGCCTTGTGGTAAGGGGTGATATTGTGGGGATGTTAGAAGAAACATTTGTCGTATAGAATGATTGGTGATGGCCTGGATACGGTTTTGTGCGAATTGAAAAACTAAATGGAATAACAGAAGGAGAAAAACAGGCATAAAAGGTTTAAGAATTGGGATGACTCAGGACATCTGATTAGAGAGTGCCTAAGGAGATTCAGCATAGTCCTGCCAGCAAAGATTATTTATTTACTTCAAGAGTTAAGAGTGGCAGTTTGGGGATAGCACCAGGAGATATCAGCTGTGGTGGCTTGGAGAAACAGTGTAAACCGGCAGTGTAAACAAGAGCAGGGCATGTATGAGTAGTTGAGAACGCTGAATAGGAGTATGACTAGACAGAAGATAGTAGGGATGACAAGTTTTTTGGGCCACAGTCTAAGTTGGTCTGGTGTCTGGAATGAGACTGGGGCCTAATAAAAAGGAGCGTCTATACAGGAGCTTAAATGGGCTGTATCCTGTAGCATTCCGAGGACAGGCCTGAATTCTGAGAAGGGAAAGTGGTAAAAGTATTGTCCAGTCCTTTTTAAGTTGGTGGCTGAGCTTGGTGAGGTGTGTTTTTAAAAGACCTTTAGTCCATTCTACTTTTCTTGAAGACGGAGGACCGTAAGGGATATAAAGGTTTCACTGAATACTAAGAGCCTGAAAAACTGCTTGGCTGATTTGACTAATAAAGGCTCGTCTGTTATCAGACTGTATTGAGGTGGGAAGGCTAAACTGAGGAATTATGTCTGACAGAACGGAAGAAATGACTGCGGTGGCCTTCTCAGACCCTGTAGGAAAGGCCTCTACCTATCCAGTGAAAGTATCTACCTAGACTAAGAGGTATTTCAGTTATCTGACTCGGGACATGTTGAGTAAAGCTAATTTGTCAGTCCTGGGTGGGGCAAATCCTCGAGCTTGATGTGTAGGGAAAGGAGGGGGCCTGAATAATCCCTGAGGAGTAGTAGAATAGCAGATGGAACACTGTAACACCTTGTCCTCACAAGATTTGTCTCCATATGGTTCCATAAATGAGTCTACATATGCCATTCCACAGGAGACTTACCTGAATATCATGAATGGTGTCATATTTCAGGTACATATTGCTATAGGCAGATTGAATACTCAGTGACGGTGTAGACAAATCAGTCATGGTGAAACTGAGCTCATATTGGTGAGACCATGCATAGCCTCCATTCCTGCCACCATGTTCATTTTGTATACCACCATTGACAAATCATACAAATGGCTAGGGAATTAGGCAGACTGACATCCCTAAGAGAGATCATCTTATCCATTTAATTATTCAAAGCACTCATTCACCACTTGGATGCCCTCTAATGGGCATTTACATGGGATACAAATATCTTCCCACTCTGTGCCCATGCTGAGAGGCCCATCACAGACATCTCCCCAGACCTTGTCACCACTCTTCTTATTTTGTTCTTTCCAGTTCCTTAACCACTGGCCAATTCACCCTTTGTGCTATCTCCCCTTCCACATTAAATAGACACCCAAAAGACTGCCCAAAATTCTGCCTCCTGAGAACATTTTCTTTCCTCACTATCTTTCAGTGCCACCCATGTGGGGCTGTAATGCAGTAGCTATCCATTTCTCTTAGAGGTCCACATGCCATCCATCCATAAGCCAGGCCCATTCTTTCTTCTCCTTCAGCTGGTCATAGAGAATTCCCTCAACGAATTGGAGCAGTTGTCCAAGGGAAAAGCAAGAGAGTAGTAACAGCAGCTACCATGGAAGTCTGAGCCACTCACTCACGCAGTTTATTTGTGCCTCCAGACCCTTCTTGGCCCTGTCTCATATATAACATTTTCATTTTACACTGGAATGATATGTGCATGTCTAAATTTATGACGCATATTTTATTATTTTCAAGTCAGGTGTTCAGTCTTTGACTCACCCAGCAGCAAACTAAAAGGTGTTTTTCAAGTCAAGAATAGTTGTCAGAAGAGGCCAAGTCTTATTCTAAACACCTGAGAGTCTCGCCCTGTAAGCCTGCCAGAAGCTCTCTATAACATCTCTGTCTGAAGCTAATGTTTAGTGCCTTGAGTCTAACAGATCATAAGAGTGAAGCAGCCTAGACTTGCTGAAGAGCCTTTTGTGCTTTTCTTGGTGTGACCCTACTCAAAACTGGCAGCCTGACAGATTTTCCAGCAAATATTAGGAGCAGCATCCCCATATGTGGTATATGAAGCCTCCCAAATCCAAAGATGCTTACAAAATGCTGTGCCTCCTTCCTTGCAGTGAACCAGGCAAGATGCAGAAACTGATATCTCACTTTAGTAGGGATACCCCAAAGTACCCAAACAAGATGACTGGATACCTAATAACTTTGCCTATGTGGCAGGTCCTCTAGCACCCTCTAGCATTCATGTGTCTTACTTAAGGCATATAGGTTCTTGATAGTTCCTGCTCATACAGTCCAGTTGGCATAATTTCATAAAAGTAATGGACTAGCATAAAGTTCTGTTCCCTCCAAAGCACATTATAAGAGAAATGGGTGAGTTGATGTAGATAGCCCTTAGGGAAGTCAGTAAAGTATCCTGCTATCCCTGCAACTTGAAAACAAACTGCTTCTTATTAACTTAGCTGATAGAGATGTCAAAAAGCATTTGCTAGATCAGTAACTACATACGGGCCAAGGGCTATGTTTTATTTTGCTGTTTCAGTGAAGATACCACATCAACTGCAAGTGGCATTACCATCTTATATCTATGGTAATCTACAGTCATTGACAAATGGTCCCCCCAAAATAATATATTAATAAAATTTTTCCCACTGTTATATGGACTCATTAGCCAAGGAATGAGAAGGTCGTTTGGTCAAATGAAAATAACACCTGGCTAATTTTTTCTGAATGCTGGGCACTCTTGCTCAGAGAAGTGTTAATAACTTGTGGATTTCAGGGCTAGAGTGGGAATAAAGTAGTGTCCTATTAGTGGTTGGTGGGGTATTTGAGACTTTGAGGTCAAAAGGAGATCTGGTCTTGCTCCAGGAGGGAGTTGGATTCCCTGAGTTTAATAGGATGTTTAGGTAGCAGTTTCCATAAAAAGCAGAATTCTGTGTCCTGTCCAGGGAAGCACCCTTGGAAACTGCCAAACTTCTGATTGGAGTGGCAATGTGGATGTGAAATAAAATCACTAAGCACCCTCACCTCACGCAGGGAAGGTCCTGATGGCTGAGCTCAGCATAAGTTGCCCGTGCAAAAGAACTTGGACAATTCGCATTTTAGTGGTGAGCAGGATGGACCAAAAACAGAGGCTGGTTCTTATGCAATCTCCAGAGTCCACAAAAAATCATTGCATTTGGATGTGCCACTGTCTAGACAGCCCACAGCAAAGGCAAATTACTTTATCCATCCAATAAGACCCTTAAAAGTACTTTTTTTTCTGGTGCGTATATTTATAAAGCACTTTGAAGCCTTGATATAAAAGTACCCAGAAAGCAGAAGGGTAACCATAATCTAAGAATGAGTTTAAACCTGTGGAAGATCATTCAGGAGTGCACTTTGGAGAGTGAGCCAGGAACTAGCCTTTGTTTCCCTGCATGACTCTGTCAATCTTGCTTTCATGCTTCTTTCTTTAGCCTTTTCATAATAGTCTTAACAGTCATGTCAACACATCACTTATTACACATTGTTAAAAAGGATTACTTCTGGGAGACTGTACTGAAAGGAGAAATTGATGCCTTTTGCAATTTCCTATTTCTATTCTTCTAGTAGAAAGTCAATAAAATCTTATTTTAACAAAAACTAAAACTAAAATTTTCATGTAATGTTTTTACAAGGAACATTTTTTAAATCGTTCTTGCTATAAAAATAGTGCTGCTCACTCCATCAGTTCTTAATTTAAAACAGATTTTCAACACTCTTAGAGAAGTAGAGTAATTTGCCCAAGGTCTGTGGCTTTCTTCATTATTCCAGCCCCAGCACAAGGAAAATATTCTCTGTTTGGCTCTTCCCAGTTGCATAATGGAGAAAAAACTATCAGGACAATTCTCTTCAGTATGAAGTGGGAAGCTATGTTTTATTAGATTTTTTGAAGACACTCAAGCGTTTCATCTTTTTGACAAAATCAGTGGTTCCTCTCTGGTTAGCAAAATAAATGGCAACTTAATTAACTCCATGAATGTTACACTTGAAGTCTGCCTGTCCACACTTTCTTCTTAGGAGTTAAAAAAAAAAAAAAAAAAAAAAAAAAAAAAAAAAAAAAAAAGATACAAATCCCTAGGGAATTATTCTTATTTCAGATCACTGAAAACAGCACAAGCATATTTTTTAAGTGTAGAATTGTCCAAAAGAAATTCTATAAAAAGTGGTTTCTATTTTTTTTGAGGCAGGGTCTTGCTCTGTTGCCCAGGCTGGAGTGCAATGATCACGGCTCACTGCAGCCTCCACTTCCCAGGCTCAAGCCATCCTCCCACCTCAGCCTCCCAAGTAGCTTGGACTACAAGCACTCACCACCATACCTGGCTTTTTCTTTTTTTGTAGGAATGGAGTCTCACTATGTTGCCCGGGCTGGCCTCAAACTCTTGGGCTCAAGCAATCCTCCTGCTTCTGCCTCCCAAAGTCCTGGGATTACAGGCATGAACCACTGCACCCATCCCTCTATTTTTCTAAATTGCCTTGCAAGATACTCATGGAAATACAAAAATGTTAAGGTCATGGCCACAAACTATACAAGGTCCATGTCCTCTATTAAAAAACAAAATGAAAACCAGGCATCAATGTCATTATATGGTACATTCTGGGAGAAGATTTAAAGAAAAACAAAAAGAGAGACAGAGAGACTGGAAATGCTTTTTAAATGCCTCTGGAAACATTGTTTCTCTACTGTACTCCCATTTGTTTTTACTTTTCCATTTGTGGCCTCATAATGATGTAACAGGATCTGGATACATCATTCACCAAAATGACAGGTGAAGGTTTTGCCATCAACATGAGCTCGTTCATCAGACAGCAGAAGCTGACTACATTTCTAGATCTGTGATTTTCAAAAGGTAAAAAAAAATAAAAAAAAGACACCCTTAAGAATATGATACTCTGGTGGTTTCTGCAGAAGATAAATGGTAGAGAAACGTGAAAACAATATTCTCTGTGATGTTTCCCAGAAAACCTAGAGGTCCAGTCTGGATAGCTCAAAGAGGAGTTTGTTAACACATTTACAGGTTTTGCAATGAGTCAATAGTCCAGGCCTATCCTCTAGGATACCAAAACATTAGGGCTACATATAAGCAAGTCTATAGGAGGTCATTTCTCCCAGGATTCAGTAAATCAAGGTCTAAGTGTTTTCTTTCTTTCCTTCAGCCAAAATGTGAAGGACTCTATAGGCCCTGAATGCAAATAGAAAGATACAACTAAAATCAGCATGATAAAAAGCATTAGTAGAGAAGCTATTGAATCTACTACTATAAAAAAGAAACTGAGACACCTGGGGGAAGGGGCGGCTGTGGGCGTCAGCAGACTTAAACGTTCCTGCCTGCAGGCTCTGAAGAGAGCAATGAATCTCCCACCACAGCACTGGAGCTCTGATAAGGGACAGACTGCCTCCTCAACTGGGTCCCTGACCCCCATGCCTCCTGACTGGGAGACACCTCCCAGCAGGGGTCGACAGACATCTCATACAGGAGAGCACCAGCTGGCATCTGGCAGGTGCCCCTCTGGGAAGAAGATTCCAGAGGAAGGAACAGGCAGCAATCTTTGCTGTTCTGCAGCCTCTGCTGGTGATACTTAGGCAAACAGGGTCTGGAGCTGGAGTGGACCTCTAGCAAATTCCAGCAGACCTGCAGAAGAAGGTCCTGACTATTAGAAGGAAAATTAACAAACAGAAAGCAATAACATCAACATCAACAAACAGGATGCCCACCCAAAAACCCCATCCGAAGGTCACCAACATCAAAGACCAAAAAGGTAGGTAAATCCACAAAGATGAGGAAAAACCGGCGCAAAAAGGCTGAAAATTCCAAAACCAGAATGCCTCTTCTCCTCCAAAGGTTCACAACTCCTCGCCAGCAAGGGAACAAAACTGGGCAGAGGATGAGTTTGACGAATTGACAGAAGTAGGCTACAGAAGGTGGGTAATAACAAACTCCTCTGAACTAAAGGAGAATGTTCTAACTCAATGCAAGGAAGTTAAGAACCTTGATAAAAAGTTACAGGAACTACTAACTAGAATAACCAGTTTAGAAAAGAACATAAATGACCTGATGGAGCTGAAAAACACAGCATGAGAACGTCATGAAGCATACACAAGTATCAATAGCCAAATCGATCAAGCAGAAGAAAGGATATCAGAGATTGAATATCAACTTAATGAAATAAAGCATGAAGACAAGATTAGAGAAAAAAGAATGACAAGCAATGAACAAAACCTCCAAGAAATATGGGACTATATGAAAAGACAAAACCTATGTTTGATTGGTGTTCCTGAAAGTAATGGGAGAATGGAACCAAGTTGGAAAACACACTTCAGGATATTACCCAGGAGAACTTCCCCAACCTAGGAAGACAGGCCAACATTCAAATTCAGGAAATACACAGAACATCGCAAAGATACTCCTCGAGAAGAGCAACCCCAAGACACAAAATCGTCAGATTCACCAAGGTTGAAATGAAGGAAACAATGTTAAGGGCAGCCAGAGAGAAAGGTCGGGTTACCCACAAAGGGAAGCCCATCAGACTAACAGCAGATCTCTCTGCAGAAGCCCTACAAGCCAGAAGAGAGTGGGGGCCATTATTCAACATTCTTAAAGGAAAGAATTTTTTTTGTCAGACAAAAATTTAACTTTTTATGAGATTTCAGTTTTTGAAATACACAACTCTTATAGGTAACAAACCTGCATATTCTGCACATGTATCCCAGAACTTAAAGTATAATAAAAATTTTTTAAATTTAAAAAAGATAAAAATAAATGTCAAATTTCAGTACAGACATTCTTTCTCTTCTTATCTCACAAGTTATAAACACAATATTCCAATTTATAGTTAATAAAACCTTGATTATTTTAAAGGAAAAAACAATGAAGCTGAGTAAACAAGGTGAAATATGGCCTGTTGGGGCACTTCTATCATGGCTTTAATTAAATATTGTCCTAAATGAACAGAAAAGAAATTTAATGAAGGTTCATAGTGTTAGCTATATATATTGATAAATTATACATCCATATATATACATGGAGTATGTATTTTTGGAAGAGTAACCTGAAGAAAAAAGGCATACAGAGGCAGAATGATGGTGTGCTGAATGCAAATAAGAGCTATCTCACCTGTTTGGCCTTGATGTTGGAGGGGATACTCTCTATCATCCATGCAGCTTTCACCTGGTTAACTCCTGCTTCCCCTTTCAGGTTCGTTGTCTGATGTCCCCAGGTGAGGTTAGGTGTTGTGCTGTGTGCTCTGAGAGCAATGGCATGCTGGTAAATGTCTATAACTGGCTCTTTGAAGGAAAAAACCCTGATCTGCAGCAATTTCCATGGTGTGAATACTCACGCCATGGTTTATCTTGAGCTACCAACATGATGTCATTGAATGAAGAGTTAGGGAAATGTGTGCGGTAGCCAGCATTAAGAACAATTCCACCACACAACGACAGCCATAAAGAACCTCAGCAACAAGATCATCAGGAAATGATGGGGCATTTATTACCTTTGCTTTTTAGTATAATTTATCTAATTTATTTTTGATATAATTTATCTAATTATAAGTTTACATAACAATTTTTAATAATGTCTGTGTTTAAAATGAGCTCGCAAAATTCCCAGAAATTTAACAGTCAGCTCCCATAAACTGGCAGATGCTACCTCTTCCTCCTATCCCTGTTGCATAGCATCCTGTATTTATCTCACAATAGCACTACCATGATTGATTTTAATTGCTTGTTTAATTGTCTTTCTTCCCTGATAGACTTTATTCTTGATGAGGGCAGAGTTTCCTTATACCTTACTATTGAGCTACCACAGTTCCTGACACATCATGTTTCAGAGTTTTGTTTTATAAACAAATGAACAAAATGGATAAACAAATGTCATGGGCACCAGCCCTGGTTTCAGCACTAGCTACCAAGAGCCAGCCTTTGTGTTACTGCCCAGAATGCACCAGCCGACTTTGCACTATGGATTGCATCTCAAAGAATTACTCAAATGTTACCTATCAAAATTCAATGAATTAAGAAAGCTGTAACATACACAAATCAAAACACCATGTTGTACATTTAAAATATATACAATTTTAAAAAGAAAGCTATAACACAACAGAATATAAGATAGAGTTTGGATGAATACTACTCAATCCATCCATTTAAGAAAGCTTTTGAGGGCCCGTCATGCTCCAGGCACTAGTGATAAAGCAGTGAACCAAGGAGAAAATTTTCTACCAACATAGGCCTCACATCCTAGTGGTAGAGACAGGCAAAAAAATTAACTAACTAATTAATTACTGTCTTACAAAATGCCAAGTAAGGATAAATTCTATGAAGAAACAGAGACAAAATAATAAAGACTGAGAAGTACGAAGATGATGGGGAAAGCCTTCTTGAGGAAGTAGCATCTGTGAAGACACTTGAGTGAGGTGAAGGAACCAGTCACGTGACCATCCGAGGGAATATTCCAGGCAGAACGGACCACAGAAGCACAGGTGATGTGGCACGTGGAGCCCAAGCAGGTTGGAGAAATAGGAAAGACATACATATGATTGGAGTGGGGTGCGTTAGAGGAAGAGTGTACATGAGGTGAGAGCATAACATGGGGACGGATTATGTAGCGACTTAAAGGTCAAAGAAAAGATTTGGTTTCACCTTGTGCATGTGATGCTGTCAAATTGTCGGAAAAACAGTTTACAATATTTCACCAAAGCAGAATGAGTTAAGTGTGTGTGTGTGTGTGTGTGTGTGTGAACTTTAATCACCACCCTGGGTGCAGTTAGCTAATATTTGTAATATTCTAAGCAGTAATTCACACACAGGCACAGTAAGTGTTTGGAAAACCATAATCAGCAGTACACATTTGAGAGTTGCTTTTAGCAAGTGCTTCAAATTTCCCCATCTAAATCTTCACCAAAACGTTTAAAAAATAGCATCAGGGATATTAGAAATAACCTTACATTGCTGTGATTAGTAGTATTTAATAAATATAATTGGCTAGAAAGTCTATATAAACACTCTTTTCCTTGCAGGAAAAAGGTGTAAAAATCTGGCAGGCTCAACAGGACATGGCTGTGGCTCTGAAGTTCTGTTCATCAGGCCTGCGTCTCCCAACCCCACCCCATCCCCTTCTGTCCTAAGTGCACACACATACACACACTTACATTTCATACAAGGCTGTTTACCGGATCCTAGTAGATGATTGGCTCATCCTACACTGAAATATTGACAAGGCTGCCTTAAAGTGGATCTTGTGGAATGACAAAAGGACAAAGGACTGAACGAGATTGAATAAGTGCTTTTATATCTGTTTGCTAATAGTTGCTTATATGTGTGGCAGAATTCTGAACATTCCCATACCCTACCAGGGAGTGAAGCTATGGGGACGAAGACGAATGGCACTCACCCACGTCTAATGGGAGTGGTATAATATGTGGAAAGCCTGAGGGAGTTGTTGGGCAGCATGGTAACATGCCTAACTGGCATTTTAAATTCTCATTTAGAGTAACCGTTATTAATTTTTGAATATTTAAAAGTGTTCAGTAGTAATTAGCACATAAGCTTCAAGCTTTGCTTTTTTTTTTTGAGACGGAGTCTTGCTCTGTCGCCCAGGCTGGAGTGCAGTGGCCCGATCTCAGCTCACTGCAAGCTCCCCCTCCCGGGTTCACGCCATTCTTCTGCCTCAGCGTCCCGAGTAGCTGGGACTACAGGCGCCCGCCACCACGCCCGGCTAACTTTTTGTATTTTTAGTAGAGACGGGGTTTCACCATGTTAGCCAGGACGGTCTTGAGGTCCTGACCTTGTGATCCGCCCGCCTCGGCCTCCCAAAGTGCTGGGATTACGAGCGTGAGCCACCGCGCCTGGCCTCAAACTTCTTTATAAAATAGAACTAAACAATCATCCCCTTCTGAGGAGAAAACTTTGCTGAGGAACAGCAGACTTCAGTAGACTGATATGTGGGTGAAATGGGTGTTCTGCAGAAGGCCTGCGCTTTTGAGAACCCTAAATCCTTCCAGAACTAAAGATATTTCACATTTTAGTGTTTTTCTGTGAGCAAACTTAAGATTTGCTCAGTATGATGTTATTTACTCTGTTATTTCACACTTCACAGAGAACCTCTTTCTGTCACTAAGAAGGCTCAAGTGATAAAAGGAGAATGTTTCATGACTATTACTGCAAAACAAATAGTTATGCTAAAATATTTTTTACAATCCTGGAATCTCTGGGTCAGGAATTCAGGAAGGGCTGGGCTTGGTAGTTCTGGCTTGAGACTGCTCCCGCAGTTGCAGCCAAACAATGGCTAGAGCTGGTATAATGAGGACTGGGCGCCTGGGTGATAACCAGGCACCACCACCCCCACTCTGTCCATTTGGTTTCAGAGTTTCTGCATGTGGTCTCTCTGCATGGGCTAGCTTGGGCTTCCTTACAGTACGGCACCTCAGGGAAGATGGACTGTTTATATGGCGGCTGACTTTTTTGAAAACATATGTGCCAAGAAAACATGATAGAAATATGTATTTTTATGACCTCATAAATCACATAGCATCACTTTCAACCAACTCTCTTGGTCAAGGAAGTCACAGAGGCCCTCCGTCTTCGAGGAGAGTGGACTTCGAGTCCCCTTTAATGGGAGGGATGGCAGCGTTACCCTGTAAGGAGAGCACACGTGGGATGCTGCAAGATATTGTTGCAGCCATCTTTGGAAAATATAATCTGTAACACAGGACAATATGGGTATGCTGCACACAGACTCGACATCAGTGCCATCATCTTAGTCCGTTTGGGCTGCTGTAACACAATCCCATAGACAGGGTGGCATGAACAACAGAGACTTATTTCTCACAGTCTGGAGGCTGGGAAGTCCAGGATCCGGGTGCCAGCATGGTTGAGTTCTGCTGAGGGCTCTCTTTCTGGTTCACAGATGGCCATCTTCTTGCCGTGTCCTGACTTGGTGAAGAGGACAGAGAAGGTGAGCTCAATCCTGCCTCTTCTTAAAACGGCACTAATCCCATCATGAGGGATTAATCCATCATGAGGGCTCCACCCTCATGACCTAATTGCCTCTGAAAGGCTCCACCATTCCACTGGAAATTATGGTTTCAGCATGTGCATTTGGGGTGAGGGGAAGGACACAAACATGCAGTTCAAAACAGCCATTATAACCTGTTTCAAGAAGGATCATAGTATAATAGTTCATATCCATTTAGCCTTCGCCATGTTCCCAGCACTTGCTAAGTGCCTTATGTGCCTTATCTTGATCTTCACAACATTTCTATGAGGTAGAGATGACTAATTTCTCCATTTTTCTGAGGAGAAACTGGGTTTCAGAGAAATTAAAGTAGCTTGCTGTGGAATATCCCTACCAACTCAAATCATAATATCATTAAAATAAAGCTGTAAAAACAAAAACACAATAAAAATATCCAGTTGATAAAAGGTTTCTCCCATACATAATTAGAAAAATATAAATAATAAGGAAAATAACTTTATATTTTTGTTCTGTTTTGTTTTAATAAAATTCTGTTCAGAAATGATCTGATGTATTGATAACTAATCCCTTCAACGTCTTCAGTTTTTATATCTACAGGCAGCGTATTGTTATAAGGTGTCATTAGTATTCAGAACGATAAAAACACTTTTTAATAAACCCTCCATTAGCTAGAATCCTATGTTCCCTGAGGACTGGAATTCACCATGGTTTTTCCCTAATTTCATTTGGATTAGAAATTTTTGTCGCTTTTTATTCCTATGATCATACAACATAAAAAATGGAAAATTCAGAAAAACTAGACCTTTCCCACTAGCTGATAAATGTTTTGCGAAGAAAATGAATCCTATTTCCTTGTTCTGTTGAACTTTTCTTAGGGGAGTTTTATTAAAGAACCATGCCATTTAAAAGGAAATTTAACTCATCTTTCTAGCCCAGTTTACTCTTATCCTTAGGATTATATGTATAGGGAGAACTCTTCACAGGAAAACATTTTGTCCAGAAAATACCCTCTTCTCTCATCCAAACTCCCTGAAGTCTACATATAATTATTGGAATCTTAACATGTTATTCACACTACTACTTCTTACAAAAAAAACTCAGTTAAAATATTGACAAAGCTTCCATAAAGTGGATCTTGTGGAATGAAAAAAGGACAAATAACTGAATGAGATTGAATAACTGCTTTCATATCTGTTTACTAAAACTTGTTTATACAAATGGTACTTGATATTTAGAATTTCTGAAACAAACCTGAACTTGAATGGAGCACCCCAGCCCTGTGGAGTGGGAATGTCTTTAAGACTTAGGGTCAGCCAGGAGAGGTGGCTCACGCCTGTAATTCCAACACTTTGGGAAACCAAGGCAGGAGGATCACTTGAGCCCAAGAGGTTGAGACTAGCCTGGCCAACATAGCAAAACCCCATCTCTACCAAAAGTACAAGAATCATCCAGACAGGGTGGCCTGTGCCTGTGGTCCCAGTTACTTAGGAGGCTGAGCGGGGAGAATCACCTAAGCCTGTGGAGGTTGAGGCTACAGTAAGCCATGATCACGCCACTGCTCAATCGTGATAAAGCTTGAGCAACAGAGTGAAACCCTGTCTCAAAAAATAAACAAATGAAACAAGATTTAGGGTTATTTGGTTAAAAAAAAAAAACAGGAAAAAATCCTTGTTCATTTATTACTTTCAGTATCTGGGTAATGAGAGCAGTTTCACCAGTAAAATTTACATGAGAGCACAATCAGAGGTAATATTAACGTTTATATGGGCACCAAATTGTGGAATAACCCAAAAGGAGATATGTAATTTCATTAGTACATCTCTCCCTGATCCTCATCCAAGCGGAATTCGTTGGATCCTCATTTGTTTATACTGTATCATTTTATCTCTTAACATATTGCATAGTAATCATTTCAAATCCTTGCTAGCCACTTACTTGTTTTGTAACCATAGGAAAAGTACTTAACATTTCTGTGCCACCATTTTCTCATCTGTACAATGGGAATAACAATAAAGTTATATCACAGAGTTGTTAGGATGTCTTCATGTTTGATAAATTAACCACTGATTATGTTTGTGTCTCTCTTCTGCACAAAACATTTAAGAAGAAAAGGAATTCAGAAGAATCAAACAAGACTCACCAAGCAGTTAAATACCTAGAAGTTAATCATATCTTATTATAGAGAGATAAATTCAAAAATTCCAGCCCTAGTGACATTTTAACAGGGCCTTGATGATACATGCTAAGATATGCATAAAGGACAATATAATAACAATCAAAGATTTTCTTCCTGAACTGCTCTTCAACCTATGTTTATTTCCTTTGGCCCTTGGCCATCTTGTTTCATTCTCTTGCCTCTCCTAATGAATTTTTCATCTTGATTCACTTTTGAACTGTTTTTTAGTTGTTAATGTTCTATTTCTTTTCCAAACCTTTCAGTAGCTTGCTGCTTCCTGAAACAGTGTTTCCTGATTTATATTCCTTTGGCATTGACCCAGATCTCCTTCCCTTCAGTGCCTCCCACCAACTACTGTGCACCTCCTCTTGCCATGTATGACCCTGACGGGCATGAATCACCTCTCTCCCTGCCTAAACCAGAAAGGGCTGGACAAGGAGCTAGCCAATATGTAAACCTATGTCAACCAGGATAGGGAGGTGAAATGCAAAATTTAAAAGAGTCATTTTATAACATTATGAGATTGGGGATAATTACCCACCCCTGCAAATATTCTTTGATTTTAAAAAGGGTCAGGGGGAAGGAATATAAACGTGGATAGACCTTACAGTTTTCAAATGTTTGAAGACACAACTAAGAATTTTGACAATTCCAGCCCCTTGTGAGAATTTGAAAAGCAGGAGTGTCTTACATCTGATATTCTTGTACAGTGAAAACAGCAGGGACATAAGAACCTGGCATAAGAACCTGTATGTCAGTCAGGGTCATACATGGCAAGAGGAGGTGCACAGTAGTTGGTGGGAGGCACTGAAGGGAAGGAGATCTGGGTCAATGCCAAAGGAATGTAAATTAGGAGACACTGTTTCAGGAAGCAGCAAGCTACTGAAAGGTTTGGAAAAGAAATGGAATATTAACAAACTAAAAAACTGTTCAAAACAGTTCAGACATAGGTCAATTTCAGGTTCTATCACTAAGTAGCATATGACTGTGACTTTGACTGAGACCTGCTACAACCTCTCATCTGTAAAATATATTTAATAATATCAACCTTACAGGAATGTTGTAAAGATTAAAGATAATATAGACCAATTGCTCAATAAAGATGACTTGAGTAAATGAGTGCTGAGAGTGCCCTGGAATTGCAAGAAAAGTCCCCAAAAGGGTGGAATCGAAGGAGCAGCTATCAGGATGGGAGAGATTAGGGAAGGAGAGGTTTGGAGAGTCAACTGCATTTCTTTGGCTTATTCATGTAAGGTAACTGGTATGGACTGGATAACCTTTTGTTTAAAAAGAATCCTGAAACCAGTGTATGACCAGCTGACAAGATACTTCCTTTTCTTTCAGAATTAGTACCTCTACAAATTCTTATTGTAATGCAAGCGAGTAAACTCAAGAGAGAATATGTGAAAATGCAAAAGGAAAACCAACCTCAGCCAACCCCCAGCCATCTAATGGCCCTGTGAGAACTTCAGCACAAAGAGAATAAATCACATTTGTTCCCACTGCACACAAAGATTGATGGTAAAAAGAATCCTACCACAGAACTCATTTATATTATAGAAGAAACTGTAATGTCAAAACTCATCCTGGGGCAAAGCACAGTAATCCAAGCACTTTAGGAGGCCGAGGTGGTAGGATCAGTTGAGCCCAAGAGTTCAAGACCAGCCTGGGCAACATGGTGAAACCCCGTCTCTACAAAAAAAAAATACAAAAAATTAGCCGGACATGGTGAAGTGCACCTGTAGTCTCAGCTACACAGGAGGCTTGGGTGGGAGGATCACCTAAGCCTGGGAAGTTAAGGCTGCGGTGAGCCATGATCACCCCACTGCAGTCCAGCCTGGGCAACAGAATAAGAGTCTGCCTCAAAAAAATAAAAATAAATAACTTTCATCTGAAGTCTGAAAGTAGATATCATTTTGTGTTTAACATAGAGAGAGGTACTGAATAGAAAACAAAGTTGTTCTGCTTTAGAAATGGGACTAAAATTTGGGGATTGGGGGGTAAAACAAAAGAGGAGAAGACTTGGAAGCTGTTATGGGCTGAATTGTGTGTCTCCCAAAATTCATAGATTGAAGCCTTAACCTCCAGAATCTCATAATGTGACTATAATTTGAGATAGGGTCTTGAAAGAGGTAATTAAGCTTAAATGAGGTCACTTAAATGAGGGTGGCCCTAATCCAATCTGATTATGTCCTTGTAAGAAGAGATTAGGACACACAGACCCTAGGGATGTGTGTGCACAGTGGAAGGGCCAGGTGAGGGTGCAGAAAAAGGGCAGCCACTTGCAAGCCAAAGAGAGAGGCCTCAGGAGAAATCGAACCTGCCTACACCTTGATCTTCGACTCTAGTTCCAGAACTGTAAGAAAATATGTTTCTGTTGTTTCACAGAATACACCCAGTCTGCGTCCTTTGGTGTAGCAGCTCTAGCAGACTAATACTGGAGATGACAGGGAAAGGACGTGAGCAGGAGTGGGCAATGCAGTGACCAAGAGTGAAAGCAAACAAGTCTAAGGAGAGACAGCCAGTAAGAAATGGTGGATAGATGGCCAATGGAGGCCACGGTAGAACCATGATGACTATTATTAAATTTTAACCTTTGGCTGGTAGTCAGTAATACTGTAATTCTACTGTACAACTCCAAAGCTTCAGTAATAGGATGCTATATATAAATATCTTGTGGGGGTTTGTGTGTTTGTTGTTGTTGTTGTTTTAGTCAATGAAGGAATCAAGGCATTGTCTGGAGGGGGGCAAAATGATTTAGAAAAAAGACTGCAGTTGCAAGAAGTGAGAGGGAAGTGAAAACTAAAACTTCAACAGCTACAGATACCAGAGCAAGAGGAGACTGTGGAGACCTAAGTTATCCAGGCAGCTGCTCCTGGGACCACTGGTGCAACTGGACAGCATGGAATGAATGCCCTGAGAGATGCTTGGTTTCTGCCTCGAAGGGCCCAGAGGGATTTTGGCATGCCTGGAAAGTGAATCTTAATTTAATTTTTAATTTTTTTAATTTTTAATTTTTTGAGACAAGGGTCTCGCTCTGTTGCCCAGGCTGGAGTGCCAGTGTTGCGATCGTGGCTCACTGCAGCCCCAATCCCCTGGACCTAAGTGATCCTCCCACCTCAGCCTCCCAAGTAGCTGGTACTATAGGCAAGCACCACCACACCCCGCTAATTTTTTGGTAGCAATGGGGTTTCACCATGTTGCCCAGGCTGGTCTCAAATTCCTCAAGTGATCTGCCTGCCTCAGCCTCCCACAGCAATGGGATTACAGGCAGAAAGTGAATCTTAAGTAGATAAGAAGAAAGGAAAATGTTTAATACATAGTTGTCATTTGGTGTACTACTTTACACTGAATCTCACATTAAAGTAAGACAATTAAATGTATCCACTGTGACTGAGCTCAGATTCCTTCTGAAAAGGTTCAGTGTAGCAGACAGTTAATGTTTGTCAGATTTAACATTAGCAGAAAATAGGAGTTTAGATGCTATATGTTAAATCTGTGCTCTCAAATTTAACAGGTGATAACCCTGATTAGACTTAGTGTCTCAATACTCATCGTTGCCTTGATATATTGCCATGTGATGAATAATAAATACGCTGATACATGATCAGTAATAAATACCTTGGCACATTAATGTGAAACATACTAGAAAGAATGAAAATGGACTGAAAAAATTCTTTCTTTGACATCCTAAATACTTCATTACCTCTAAAGCACATGTAACCGTCTTAACTAACATGCAAAACAAATTACTGTGGAACGGGGCTACTTATTTTAACATTTCACTTTATTTTTTCAGCCAGCTAAAGAGGGATCTCTATGTAAGAAGAATAGAATTTTCCATCTAGTGAAGAGATTTTGAAGAATGATTTTTTTAAATTATTGAATTTGTAGTAATTATTATTCCAAACAACTGACTTTTGAGGGCTCAAATACTGATCTTTCTATAATTGTAGTCTCGTCAGCTTCAGTTAGGTTCTCCAGTGTAATTCCTGACTTCTAAGATTGGGATTTGAATTATGCAATTTTTATCAATTCAGCAAAATGTACACATGTGCTGTGGTGAGGGTTTCATCTTTCTGAGGTTATGCTTATGGGCAGGGGAGAAAAAAAGATCTCCAATGGATAAACTGTCATTATAGCTTGGTCATAGTGGACTTTCCTAGACTTCTTTTTTACTACTTAAACAGGAAGCTAAAGAGACAAGAACTTTCTTCACAAACCTGACTTCACATATTTTTTTAAAACTGCATAAACCAGAGCCAAAAATAACTGCCTGATAACTTCTTCTTTAACTCCAAGTTACTTTCCAAATTATACCTTTTTATAACAGGAAACAAACTATGTTGATTGTATTTTGTACAGGAGTGTGCTTTCCATGATTTTCTAAAATAGACTAAAATAGAAATTTTCATAACAGCCTAATCTGAACATAAGTATTTTGCTATTTAACACTATGAACACAATAAGCTATTGTAATACATTTATTATAACATAATGTTGTATCATATATATGTGGTGTGTGTACATGTACATAGAGAGAGAGAGAGAGAGCAAATATATATATATAGAGAGAGAGAGAGAGAGAGAGTCTCTGTCACCCAGGCTGGAGTGCAGTGGCGAGATCTCGGCTCACTGCAGCCTTGACATCTCAGGATTCAAGTGGTCCTCCCACCTCAGCCTCCTGAGTAGCTGGGAATTCAGGCCTGTGCCACCATGCTTGACTAAGGGTTTTTGTATTTTTTGTAGAGACATAGTCTCGCTTTGTTGCCCAGGCTGGTGTTAAACTCCTGGGTTCAAGCAATTCTCCCACCTCGGCCTCCCAAAGTATAAGGATTACAGGCGTGAGCCACGGCACCCAGCTGTGTTATATATTTAGTTGTCAGCTTTTTTACAATCAGCTTTCATGCTAGAATTCAAACTCTGAAGGCAGGGGCTTTGTTTGGTTTCACCGCAGTTTCATTAACTGAATGAGTGAATTTCTGATTGTTACCTGCACATACTTACGTATCATGTTTCTTTTGTGCTGTAAAAATAACTAAATTAATTACATCATAATATGAAGATGGAAAATACAACATTCCTGCTGTTTCATAATTACAAACCTTAACAGAATTAATCCAAAAAAATTGTATTACTCCTTTAAGCAATACATTTCTTACTTACTGTTTCTCTAGTTTTGGATTCTATGATTTTCAAATACAAAGGAAAATAAATGGAAGAAATAATAATAAAGCTACTTGGTAAGTTCATAATTTCCCCATGGTGATGGGATAACAAAAAGGGTGCATTTTTCAAAAATGAGGAATTATCTTGTATTGGGTTTTATGTATGTTTTTAAATTGAAATGCATTTATGAACTTTCATATGTATTGTGAACAAAACCAAAATTTAAGTAGAAATATCTTTAATTGGCAATACATTTTATAATTTAAGCTTTTCAGTGGTCAGTAATTAAGTAAGAAACAGTTTTTATATTTTCTGCATTGGACAAAGTATGCTAAATGATAAGAGTAAATCTACTGTGTCTGGTCAAGCAATATATTCCAGGGAAAAAAAAAGGTACTTTTTAAAACCATTTTGACCAATGAAATTAGATGTAGTAGTCAGGCTCTTTTCTCCTCAGGAATGTTCACCAACTTCGAGTCAAACCTGCCTGCATTCAGCTCCTCAAGTACACACCCCAGGTCTTTTATTTTCTTGCACATTGTGCACATACTGTTCTCTCTCTTCTGGAACATTCTTTTTCTTGCTTTTGTAGCAAACTCCCCTGAATTTTTTATGTCCCAGCTTATATGCATCCCCTCAGAGAGGCCTTCCTTGACCACACTATCTAAATAATCTAAGTAATTCATTTGTAACTATTGAACCTAATTGTTTATTTGGATTTCTTTGTATTATTTTTTTTCCTCTCCTCCCTCTCCCCATCCAACTGAAAGGAAGAACAGATGTTATTTCCCATGAAAAGGAGCATATTTCAAGCTTTATGGTAATTTAGAGGAGAAAGATAATACTTCTTTTGGGATGGCCAGGTAGGTTTTGCAGGACACATGCTGTTTCCTTCCACCACAATGGAATAAATAACATTCCTTCTCATGGATGCTAGCTCATACAACTAGTGTGACCACTGAGGGAAAAGGGAATAGTTACCCATTGATTCCAGCTTCCTTTCCTCTATCAGCTGTGTGCAATTGCTGCCCATTTGTCAAAATTTCCTGCTTTCACTATGTTCATGTTTTCCTCTCCTTTGCTCATAAACTTGTGAACTCCCTAAAAGTTGTGATTAATAACATTTACCTTAGCTACTCTGAGTATTTGTAGAATACTCCCTTTGAGTATTTGTAGGATGGTGGAGAGTCTCATGGTAGGAGGGAGTCCAAGGTCAGTGATGTGGTAGCATTTCACTGGCTACATAAACAAAACCAGAAGAAAGACAGAGATTTGGGCTTTGGAGACCCCACAGCAACCCACCTCCCTTCGGGCCCAAGCCCATGATGGCCGTTCACTCTCATTACTCTCACTTGCAACCTGTGTGTTTATTTCTAGTTCTATAAATGTTGCTCTATAATTGTCTTTAATAAATGCTCTGTCACACTTGAGCAGGTGAGGGCATTAAACTAGCCAAAGGCCAGAGCTGTCTCCAAATTCTGGGGAGAAGGGGTTAGTGTCAAAACACAGCCTGTGTTTGGAATAAATTGTCATGGGTGTATCAGTGGGTTTGCTTTGAAGACGTAAAAGGAAAATGTGCGGCTGTTTCATGCTTCTTAGCTCAAAATCACAGTGATATACTTCTTATGTTTTCCAAGAAGAATCACATGACCAGCCTCACATTGGCATGCAAACTCATTTCCAGCCACATGAATCAAGCGAGATGGGAACACCAATGCATTTGAGTCAACAAAGGTTAACTTTGTTCTGGAGGGAAAAAGTGTTATCATAAATTCCCTGAAAGTGTGTACATGATTATTTACCATTTCCTAAACCTGAATACATTTATAAATAGTGCCATTTAGCTATTTTCAATTAAGTCTTTTGTTTCCAGAATTCTTATAGGGGAAATCCTGCATGGACCTTACCAGCTATCAAAGTCATTATAGCAGAGCTTACAGCCTGCTACAAAATTGGTGTCCCAACAATGACAAAATGGACGTCCCCTCAAAAATGCAACTGGCAGCCTTTTTTGCTGGGTTGATATTTGTTAATGCAAAGATTGGCACCACTATTCATTGGAGGGAAGCAAGGGAGAGACATAGAGACAGAGACAAACAAGGAAACAAAGTTTCTATCAATTGTTTTCTATCTAAACTATTTTTAAAAGTTGCATTTGCACTTCTCATGGAAAAGATGATGTAGCATAATTAGCACATGTGCTTATTTCCCTAAACAGCTCATAATTTTCCATCTGCAGAAAAATGTCATTTGACTTCAGTAAGCTGAAAACACTCAGGAAACAAAGGGAACATAAGCTGAACGTTGACCACAGTTTTAGATTTGATATATCCCAATATATTGCCCATCTAAATGCAGTAACTTTAGTTTGTTGCAGATTCCCAAGTCCCAGTTATTCTGCATTCTCTGCTATTATAACATACAGTAGCATTTCTCATCACGTATGTGCAGATTGTGCCCAATTAAAAGAGTTTTATTTGTAAATGTTTTTCTATTGCTGCCAATTTGTCAAATTTCCTAGCTATAACTGGTTTTCTCTTCCTTGCTTGTAAGATGGAACACCTGATAAACTAACATGATTTCCTACATTTAATGTCATATATAACTTTATGCATATATCTAAAATGTATTTCCAATGCTTTGAATTTAGCACAAACTCTGGAATCTCAGGCATTGCTTCTGAGAGATAACATTCAACTTTCAGTGAGGCCTTACTAAGTTCCAGGCACTTGGAACTAAGTAATCTTTGTATGTGTGAGCTCATTTAATCTTTACAACAACATTCTAGAGGAGGTGCTGTTTCTGTCCCTATGTACAGAAAGGCCCAGAGAGGTTACAGAGGCCCAGAGAAAGTAAACAGCTTGCTCGAGGTGCCTCAGTTAGGAAGTGACCAATGCAACATTCGAACTAAGGCAGCCTGACCACAAATCCCTTGCTCCTAATGGTAATGCTATAATATAATGTAGAATACTGAATGGATCTGTGATTTACAAAAAAAAAATTTTTTTTTTTTTTAAGATGGAGTCTTGCTCTGTCCCCAGGCTGGAGTGCAATGGTGTGATCTCAGCTCACTGCAAGCTCCGCCTCCTGGGTTCACGCCATTCTCCTGCCTCAGCCTCCCCAGCAGCTGGGACTACAGGTGCACGCCACCACAGCTGGATAATTTTTTATAATTTTAGTAGAGATGGGGTTTCACCATGTTAGCCAGGATGGTCTCGATCTCCTGACCTTGTGATCCACCTGCCTTGGCCTCCCAAAGTGCTGGGATTACAGGCATGAGCCACCGCGCCCGGCCAAAAAAATTTTTTGGGGACAGAGTCTCGCTCACTCACCATGGCTAGAGTGCAGTAGTACAATCATAGCTCACTGTGGCCTTAAACTCCTGGGCTTTGGCAATCCTCCTGCCTCAGCCTCCCAAGTGGCTGGAACTACAGACGCACACCACTGTGCTTGGCTAATTTTTTGTAGAGATGGGGTCTTACTATGTTACTAGGGCTGGTCTTGAGCTCCTCAGCCTCCATAACTGTAAGAAATAAATTCCTTTTCTTTATAAATTTTCCAGTTTCCGGTATTTTGTTATAAGCAACAGAAATGGACTAAGACATTAGTACATTCCCATTTTCTCTTCCACTTTTCTGTGGCTACACACAGTCATCCTTTCCCATCAGAGAGCTACTACTCAATCAAAAAAGTAGAAATTTTAGAACTCATGTAGTAGCTGGTCAGTCATCCAGTGATATTACATCATGGGGATAAGCTTCAAGGAATAGTGTGTTTAAAATTGCAAAAGAAAATATATTAAATTAATGTGCAAAGGACCTTGACACAAATGCTCCATGCTTTGGGACATTTATTGAAATTTAGTTGCAGACTATTTCCTTATTGAGTTTTGCTTTTCTGCTTTCCTGGAATATAGTCATAAAGCCAAATTTGACAAACTTACACTGGTAAATCACATTCTGCCAAATTACATTATTTCTTTATACTCCCACAGAGATGTTTAATGACTATTTAGAAGAATAGAAAAGATGATGAAGACTCAAAAAAAATGTAATGTTCAACTTTTATAAAGTATTGTAAAATAATTTCTCAGTTTCAAAAATATTCTTACCTTAAGCACTCATTATATCTTATTTAAAAAAAAATTCTAGGATGTGTTAAAAACCACCCCCAAAACAGTAAAGTTTATAAGCTAATAGACATTCACAGCAACTTGCTCTCTTCTTATCCAATTGATACTTTCTTATCTTTAGTCAAAACAATGAACATTTATAACAACTTGGTCTGTTTTTACTAAATTTGGCACTTTCTTACCTTTAGTCCTTCCCTTAAAAACTCCTATAACAGGGTTCTCTGTCTATGGAGTAGCCATTCTTTTATTCCTTTACTTCCTTAATAAACTCACTTTCACTCTACGGACTTGCTCTGAATTATTTCTTGCATGACGTACAAGAACCCTCTCTTGGGGTCTGGATCCAGATCCCTTTCTGGTAACATCTTTCTGGTGACCACGGAAGGTACTATAGTGAGGAAACCCCCAACTCAAAGGCTACCTTTGGGTAAGTGATGGAGTCCAGTAGCATCTTCCTGGCAAACCCTGAAGGGACAATATTGAAGATACCCCGACCCAAGGGAAAATCATCTGTGTGTACCAATTGGCTGACTTTGGGTAAGTAGGGTGCATATACCTGGGTAAAGGATGGAATTGGGTTAGAGGCCCAATTTAGGGGAGTTACAGTCTCTCCTAAAACAGGGTGGGTAAAAGGCTCTTCTTAAGAAAATGCAAGGATGCTTGACCAAACTTGGGTCTGAGGCCCAATTTAGGAAGGTTAGAGTCCTTCCTAAGATTTAGGGAGTTAGAGTCCCCTCTCAGTAAAGTCCCTGTGGCTAAGAATGGGTTTGGCACTATGGGATGTTAACTACTATCCTCTTTGGATTAATCTGCCTTGCACTCTTTGCTGATCGCTATGGGTAACAGAATTAGGCATGTACAGGACCATGGGACATGAGGAGCTTTCTCCTCCCCAAAAGGGGAAACTTGAGAGCTGATGGGTCTGCTGGAAAAGATCCCTTCACTACCGACAGGTGGGAAATGCCATATTTTCCTTTGCTAAATCTGGCATCCCTATTGTCTAAGTCCATTTGTGCTGCTATAACAAAATTCCTAAAACTGGATAATTTATAAAGAACAGACATTTATTTATCAAAGTTCTGGAGGCTGGGAAGTCCAAGATGAAGGCACTGGCAGGTTTGGTTGTCTGGTGAGGGCTTCTCTCTGTTTCCAAGATGGTGCCTTGTTGCTGTATCTTCCAAAGGACAGAAATGCTGTGTTCTCACTTGGTATAAGGGAGAAGGGCACAAGAGGGGCAAAATTCTGTCAAACTCTTTGATAAGGACACTTAATCCCACTTATATGAGGGCGGACTCCTCATGACTCAATCACCTAAAGGCCACAGCTCCCAATACTGTTGAACTGGGGATAAATTTCAGCATGAGTATTGTAGGAGACAAACACATTCAAACCATAGTACTTACCATAGGGTTAAATATAAATTTCTGTTTTATCATGGGTTAAAAAATGTCTTGGTGATCAGACATATTGAATGGTGATGGCCACCCAATAAGATGTGCTCGGTATCAGTGGAGAAACTAGTATTTATCATTCTTATAAATAATCTTTTAAACTTTTTAATAAATTATTTGAATAAAACAATTTGGTTTAAAAATAAATAACTTGGATAGAAAAATCTTGGCTGTTCAGGCAAACCATCTTCTGAGACCTGGTCCTGCAATTAAGTAAGTATATGCCATTGAAAAACCATTTATCCTCTACAACTTTGTATTAATAAAATGACCATAATTCCTTTCTTATTGTGTTGAGAAGAGGTAGATTCAATTGTGAAAGTTTCTTTATACCCATTCGTCTCTCACTCTGCTCCATAGGCATAATCATTGCTGACCATTGGATGTGTAGCATTCTCACCATTTTGTGTACATTTTTATATGTGTGTGTATGTGCACATGTTCTTTTTTATTTACAAAAATTGAGTCATATTTTACATATTGTACTGAGACTTGCATTTTCATTTAAAAGTCTTGGATATCTAAAAGCACTTTTATTTATTTAATTTTACTAAATAGGTAATACATATTCTTTGTGCTGGGCTGAGTCTAAAATAGCCCACCGTGATCCCCAATTTGTGGTATTCATGCCCCCATGTAATTCGCTCCCCTTGAGTGTGGGATGGCCTAACAACTTGTTCTAAGGAATCTAATATGGCAAAAATAATGGGATGACATTTTCATGATTAGGTAACACAAAATTTTGACTTCTGTTTTGCAAGCAGACTCCTCTATTGCCTTCTCAGCTTGTGTGCTTTGATAAAGCGAGTTGTCATGTCGGAGAAGTAGGGATGCCTCCAGCAAACAGATAAGTGGGAACTGAGGCCCTCAGTCCAATAGTCCTCAAGGAACTGAATCCTGCCAACAACTATGTAAGCTTGGAAGCAGATCCTTCCACAACCAAGCCTTTGAATGAGACTGAACCCTGACTGACACTTTAATACCAGCTTCGTGAGACACTCTGATACAGAGAACGTAGTTAAGCTGTGCCTGCATTCCTGACCCACAGAAACTCTGAGATAATATATGTGTGTTGCTTTAATCTGTTAAACTGGTGGTAATTTGCTACTCAGCAATAGGTAGCTAATGCACACATTATACAAAATTTAAAAGCTATAAAAATTATTTCTCTGAAAATTTGTTTCCCTCCCATTCTTTCCTCTAGCCAATCAGATCCCTTTCCCAGAAGCAAACACAGTTACAAGCATCAATTTAGACAGTCAATCTGAAAGTACTTCAAATTTTTAAAGGACCATGCATATTAAAGATACTGATATTATTCTTATTACAATTCAAAGATTTACAAATGATTCTAAGATCTTTGATTAGTGAAAGTGAGAACATGAGACCAGCCTGGGCAACATAGTCAGACCTCATCTCTACCAAAAAAAAAAAAAAATTAGCTGGGCAAGGTGGCACATGGCCTGTAGTTCCAGCTACTCAGGTAGCTGAGGTGGGAGAATCTCTTGAGCCTAGGAGGTCAAGGCAGCAGTGAGTCATGACTGGGCCACTGCACTCCAGCCTGGATGACTAAGCAAGACCGTGTCTCAAAAAAAAATTTTTTTTTTAAAGAAAGTGAGGACAACAGGGATAACTACAGAACTATCCATAAGAGACTGTAAAGAAAAGGCAAAAAAATTAACAGGTAAGTAAAAGACAAGTGTCAGATAAGTTACATGTCAAATGCAAGTAGGATTATTTATACCTGGTACAAATTCAAAGTACAAGATTTTGTAAAAGGAACTGTTACTTATTACCAGAAAGGGATCAAAAGATCATTAAATACTTATCCCTAATATCATTGATTCAGTGACCCATGCCGACCATAACGCAAGGCATTATCAGGATGCATGAAAACAAAAGAGAAAGCATTGTATTGAATGGTTCAGAGCTATGCTCATGCATCTGACACAGTATATCGAACACAGTCCATTGCACCTCAAAACTGACTTGATGTAACTAGAAATGACAGGGTAGGGATGAGGGTGAAGGATTCACTCATATACTTGAGCTAAAGAATAGACTAAAATTAAAAAGATATTTCATCTGGAATAGAGGTGAGCAAACTTTTTCTGTCAGAGAGCAAATATTTTAGGCTTTGCAGGCCATATGGTCTCTATCACAACTATGCAACTTTACTGTTACAGCACTAAAGCTACAACATAAATGACGCGTAAATGAATGGGTATGGCCATGTTCCAATAAAACTTCATTTACAAAAATAATCTATGAATGGATTTGGGCAAAGGGCTTTTGAACTCCTGATCTAGAAAGATAAAGACAAATGATGCAAGCAGCTGAAGTCTTCTAGTTTCATCTGATTAGAAGCTTGAACACATCAGAAAAGAGCCAGCTGCCAAGAAGAAACCCACCTCCCCACCTCATAATGTCAATTCCAGTACTGCTTTCTGAATACATGGAATTGACTGTCATTGAGGGCATCTTTTTTTATTTGAACTAAATCTGCTCTAATCTTCATTCCTTGTGATTTTCTGCACTTTTAGAATTTAAGTTGTCTTAGAGCTGAAATGAAGCCACAAGTCAAGAACCATCCCCTTTTTTCTCAATGCCCTGCCTTCCTACCATCTCTCTTCCAGCTGGGAGAGTCTAGGACTGGAATCATAGTGCTAGATAGGAAATACTATTTTTAATAGAGGTCTCATTTTTATCTTTTAGGATTCTTATCACCCTTTTTTTTCAAAAATGCATTTTGGTTAACTGCATGGATACATACAATGTGTATTTTTAAACCATAACTGAAATTGATATTTTTATTTTGTTGTTTCAAAGCAACTAAAATTAACATTTACATGCCAATGTATAGAACTAAATGTTTTATATTTTGTGCAATATTTACTCCAACACTTAGCTTTCTTTTAGAATTCTTTCTGAATTCTTAGCTTTCTTTTAGTAAATTCCTCAACTGTTTACTCTATACTTTTATGTTTCATAAATTTTTGTTAAAAAAAAAAAACACTCAAATCCTGTGTGTGAAAGAAAGATCTACACACAACCATGTACCCGCTCAAACCTGGTACTATAGGATAAAAGTTTAATTGATCTTATTTCCTAATCCTAATCTGCCTGTCCACCTGGTTAACACTCAGGCTAGAAGATAGGACCACAAAAAATAAGTCAGCTGCCAATTTTATAAAACTGCTGTGGAAGTAAAACATGTTTTAGAAAAATAGATTTACTGTATGTAGGATTTCTATCCTTCTTAAAAAGTAAAATTTTTATACTCATTTATATTCTAGTCAGCGATTACAAAATGTTTGTAATCTTTGTAATCATCATCTTTATAATCTTTGTAATGAAACTCTGTCACCCTTTTCCTTCTAAATTCAGAATAACATCATCTCTACGATAAACCGGGTTCCTAAGAGACCAAGCTTGATGAAACAACATGTATGTTTTCAATCTTACTAGAGGTTAAGACACCACAATTTCACTTGTGTCTGAACCAACTCCTCGTAAACAAAAATAAAGCTGAAACCCCAGTCTGAGATGCTTTGGCACTGTCTAAAAACAGAAAAAGGCCACTTTACTGATCCCAGCCTCCACTTCCTCCCCAACCCAGACAAATGGGTGTACCCACTCTGCTGATATGTCACACATAACCTCTTTTGCTACTTCACTAAGAACTCTGGCTAACCCCTTAGCCCAGCTATGACCCACAGACCAAAAGACCACCAAAGGTTTAGGAATATCAGTGAAATAAATATACAGGAAAGGGTCAAAGCTTCAGCTCCCAACAATAAACAGTTTCTGACATAAGCTACTGTTTCCTTTAATTATGGTCATCTCCATATGAGGATGGTAGAGTGCTTTAAAATTCTTCAGGTTTCCTAGAATTTACCTCCCACACAATATTTGATCTGGTGAGAGGCAACTAAGACTAAAATTAATCTGTGAACACATCCTTACTAGTAAACGGAAGTCATTCAAAACCTTCAGAGAACATGACTTTAAGTTCTCAAATATAACTAGATGGGTTGATTTTAACTTGATCTCTTATTTATTTATTTATTTATTTATTTTCATAGAGACAGGGTTTTTGCCATGTTGACCAGGCTGGTCTTGAACTCCTAAGCACAAGCAATCAAAGTGCTGGGATTACAGACTTGAGGACCAAGCCTGGACAATTTAACTTGATCTCTAACTGCCACTGGCTACTTGTTAGAAGGTCAAAAAGCAAAAGGTATCCAAAAAACAGGTGGCCTAACTAAGAAGTAAAAGCAAATGATGCTGTGTGAACGATTCAGAAGTTGCGAGATGAATTTATCATTTAGTGGAAGGCAGCTGTAGCCTCTTTCTTCTCAGAAATAAGCCAACTTAACAATATTTAATTATGTGGTATAGGCAAGATAAAATTCAGGTTCCCAGATTCCCAACATGGGACACTATCCACTAAAACCTATACCACAGCTGATTCTCTTCTTGCAAAAGTGGGAAAAACAAAAACAGAGGATCAAGAGAAGCCCGCTATCCTAATCACTTATCTACTGATATTGCATACCATCTCCTTGTGGAAAAAATTAGTCACATACTTATTGTATAAAATAATCAACTTCAATTTTAACATATTAGTAACCTCGCATGAACTTATTCTGGCTTTTAGAAATGGGGGAGCAAAAATTAATAGAAAATAGATACATATAAAGTTATAGCACCATAACTTAAATTCCGTTTCATGAGTCTAGTGACCTGGAACACAGACGATAAAATCCAAAAGCTATGAACTGAGCAATATTATGCATATGGCATTGTGTTAATTAAGGTAACATCTGCTATCGTAACAGATGTCAGGCACTAAAGGCAATAGAAACTTATTTCTCATTCATACTGATGGCAACGGTGGGCCATCCGGAGCGGTTGCTGTCATCTTGCCAGCTGCAGCTGGGAGGCGCCAGCGGTGGTGGCAGGAGCGGCTGTGGGAGCAGTAGTGGCGGGTTGCGGGGGAGGGGGTACCCCTGTGCCCTATGTCCAATGTCTGGGAGGCAGCCGACTACGCCACCGGGACCCTAGCACTGCAGGGCAGGACCTATCCCCAGGCCCAGAGCCTCCGTAGCTCAGCCCCTGGCCCCGCGTTGCTGCTGTCACCCTCTGCTGCTGCAGGGAGGATGTGTGGAAGAGGCAGACAGTCCCCGAAGCCCACAGCCCTGGGGGCCACCACGATGGGGCCAGGCCAAGTCGCCCATGGGCAGGGGAGCAGCTGTCAGGCAGAGAGGGTCCCCAAGGCAGAACTGGGTCCAGGGCAGTGTGACGCTTGCACACAGAGCGTGGTGGCCGAGCCAAGGCGCTGACCTGGGGTGTGCTTCAGGGCCCCATGGCTGGAAGTGGGAGCAGTGCCCGCTTCAGGACCCAGCCAATTTTTGCAGTGACAGCACCCACCCCACCAAGCCAAGTTCCTGCACGTCAGGAGAAGGCTCTGCACAGGGCTGACTGGGGCTGTGTCCAGGGGTTCCGTCCCGCATTGAGGTGATCACCGGGCCTGACACTCTCAACTGCCAGGCCAGGCCCTGATCCACTCCCAAAGGGTCCCCCTCAGACAAGGCTGTGAGCTGGGTGGGCAAAAGCCCCGCCCTCCCAGGAGCAGGACCTGGGAGTCTGTGCAGTCTGCACCCTAGGGGGCCTGTCTGCTCCTGCTGCCTGGTCTCTCCCCACTCCTGGCACCCACTCCAATCTTGGAGTGGGGTTGGGGCCAAGCCGGAGAGCTGTCACAGCCCAGCTGGCTGTGCGCATGCTCCGGACAGCACTGACACACCAGCCCCCTGCCACCTCGGCCTCCTCCAGACTTTGGGCACTGATGAGTGTTGCGGGGAGGGAAGTGGAGGTGAGGATGAGGGCAGCTCAGTGCTGGCTTGCAAGTGCCCCTTTGTGCAAGCAGCCTGGGTGCCATGGACAGCCACAGGAGGCAGACCGGCTCCTGGGCAGAAGGGGGCAGGTCCAGGTGAGGCCCCATTTTCAGGCCAGGGAGAGCCTGAAGGCTGGGGGCCAGGCTGCCAGTCCCACAGACTGGAGCGGAGACTCGTGGTGTCTTTTCCAGGCCTGCCCATGGTTGCCCATGGACCAATTGGTGTGCACTTCTTCACCTCTGAGGTCCATAAATGCCCTGGGCTCAGCAACACCAGGGCAGAGGATGGAGAGATGAAGGGACAGCCAGCAGCAGAGAGGAGATACCCACTCTGCTGAGAACTGAACACTTTTCGGGATGACCTGCCTATATCTCTGATAGGAGCTGAACACTCGTCAGGACACCCTAGCTATGGAGAGGAGCTGCCCACTGTGAGTCTTCCCTGAGGTGTTCTGTTGCTCAATAAAACTCCTCTTCGTCTTCCTCACCCTCCACTTGTCTATGTACCTCATTCTTCCTGGTCACAGGACAAGAACTCAGGACTTGTGGAATGGTGATGCTAAAAGAGCTGTAACACAAACAGAGCTGAAATATGCCCCTTGCTCGTTTTGTTGGTGGGCAAAGAGGAGAGAAGAGCTGCAGCCCTTCAGGGAGCCTAGACCTGGGATCTCCCTGAGCTAGGGCTGTGACTCCCTTTTTGAGACCCTGTGGTCCCTGGTGTCTCTGAGCCTCTGGGCACCACCACATTCCCTAGTATGAGCCAGGACAGCTGCCTGTGGGGCGCTGGTCCAGCCACAGCCTTGAAGAGAGCTGGCGCCCATGTCGGCACCTGGAGCTTCCTGCCCCGCAGCAGCAGCTGGCGTGTCTGACTGCACAGTGGCCAGACTCTATGCTCATTCACACCCCATTGCCACTCCATGCCTGACTCGCGGCATCCCTTGGAGGCATGGGATCCAGGCCAGTAGCATGAGCTGAACACAGCCTGCCAGGCTGAGTGGGCAGAATGAGTCCAGTGGGCCAGAGGCAAAGGCACCACCGGCTGTATGTTTCTGGCCAAAAAAGCAACACTCCAAAGATCCTGTAACAATACGATATCTAATGCTAGGGTTCCAGATCAGCAGACAGCTCAAGTCATGTTCTCCCTGGGCTCTGCTATCCAAAATGCTTCAGTCCTCTTCATCTGGTGAAAGGGTAAGGAAGAAGACTATGGGGGAGGCACGCTTTTTGAAGTTTTTAGGCACTTCCGCCTGGAAGGGAAACACATCACTTTGTTTTACATTCCCTTAGCAAGAACTAGACATATGGCCACATCTAAATGCAAGGGAGGCTGAGAAATGTAGTTTCAGCTGGGCAGCTGCTTCCCAGCAACTACTCTGAAGACAACACATCTTTGGTGTACAGCCAACAGTACCTGCACAATTATTATGGTAGGTGCTACATAGAATTCAAATGTGGTAAGGCATAAGACCAACTATGAAACATGTCTTTCTGTAGAAATATGATACTTGTTAAAATACAATAAGCAATTTGTTCAAAGTTTAGAGAGTCAAGAAAACTAATATTTAAGATCATTGTATCTATTAAGAATGAAGCTAATGATATTAACCCATAATCAGTAGGTGTGTGTTTTGAACTGGTGATTCACAGCTGTTTGAGATTAGCAGAGACATACTGACACTCTCCCACACTGTATGGCTCATGACCATAGCATGGCGTTAGCTGGGTGGCATATGTGAAAAAATTAAGCTTTTGTTCTTCTTAGATTTGAACTTGTTAGAGGCAAGATTTTTGAAAATCCTTACAAAATTTCTCTCTTCGGTATCATTGGAACTTACAGCTTTTGTTGTATGGTTATTTGGGTTTTTGTTTTTGTTTTTTGTTTTTTTCTTTTCATTTTAACCAAGTTTGGTCAAATTTGGATGCTTATAATTTTGATTCACATCTTAGAAGTTAGTCTCTGGGGCCAGGCATGCGGGCTCGCGCTTTCAACCCCAAGACCACTTTGGGAGGCATTTTGGGAGCTGAGGCAGGAGGATCTTTGAGTCCAGGAGTTTGAGACCAGCCTGGGCAACATAGGGAGACCTCGTCTCTACAAAAATTTAAAAATCAGCCAGGTCTGGTGGTGCACACCTATAGTCTAAGCTACTGGGAAGGCTAAGGCAGGAAGAGCGCCTGAGCCTGGGAGGTCGAGGCTACAGTGAGCCGCGATCACACCACTGCACTCCAGCATGGGTGACTGAGCAAGATCTTGTCTCAAATAAATAAATAAATAAGTTTGTCTCTAAATATTAGCTCCTCAACTGAGCTGCATCTTAGCATCCTCTTGAAAGCTTTTCTTAACACTGATGTGTAGAACTAAACACTTCCTTCCCTGGAACCCTACTGGCCCTGTAAATATACACCTAATATTTATGCAAAGAGTAAATGCAATCAGGTAAACAGAAGTGACCGGCACATTAAATGGCTTCTATTATAGTTATGTGAAAAAATTGAGGTCATAATACCAAACTTATGTCATCGTTATGAATATTAGACAAAATGCATATTTTTAAATCTAGTACTTTACAGGTGTCCCATAAATATATATACAATTACCATTATTGTTGTTATTATTGTTGTTATTATTTTGAATATCTCTCCTTTTAAAAGGCAAAGACAGAAGTTTTGGGCTCACTCTTTGTTACTGTAGAAAAAGTAAATGTTAAGGGCATAATAATTACCAGAAAATTCCCTTGTTTCTTAGGGAAAAAACAAGCAGCAGAAATTGCGTTAAGCATGAAATGGCTGAAAAGAGGGCAAACTGATTCTGGATGACTCGTGAACAATATCATTAGATACAAAGTGAAATTAATAGGTTATCTAGACTAATAAAATCCACAGATGCTTGGAAATGAAGGAGATGTGAATGCGGGAAAGAAAAATCTAAAAACATCTCCAGATTATGGCGAAGCCCTATATGCCTGACCTGTTTGGCAATAAAACTACCCCCAAAAACCACAAGAGGCATTTTCCAGGAAAGAGGCAAGCCAATCTCTTCAGTCAGTTTCTCCTCAATCCCCTACTCTGGGTAATGAAATCTGAAAGAAATTCATGTGACCCATACTGGGAAAATGCCTCTAGAAAACCCATATTGTGGGAGGTAAGAATAAAAAATTCTCAGAACATGAAAGATTGATTTATTAAAATTGTAGGTTGGGATTGATTTACCTCCTTTTTTTAAAAAAAAGTTTTATTTTTATTAGTAGTATTATAATAATGCTCATTAATTTTTATCTATAGTTTAAAATATAGCAAAACACATGATATTTTACTTAAAAACATCATAACTCTTCGACTTCACCTGTCCCCTGGTCTATTAAAGACTCTTTGAGTTAAAATCTTTCTTCAGTGTGAACTTCTCTCAAGAGCATCTCTACTTCTACCATCTGTTTACTCCTCTTGTTGTAGTGTCAATATTTTATTCCTCATGAACTTGAAAAGGAAACATAAATCACAAAATTTTAGAGCTGAAATGGACCTCTAAAATAATCCAGATTAACTCTATCAAGGAACTTGAGACCTAGACAAGAGAAAGGATATGCCAGAACCCCATAGAAAAGAATTTGAGATGGGAGACAAGAAAATCTAGGCTCTTCAAATTCTGCAATGGCATTTTTAAAATGTATACATAAATTATTTTAAGAACCCAGTAGAAGCTCCAGCCTCTTGGAGTTTATACTAAACTCACATGCTACCTGGGCTACCATGGGATTAAACATTATTAAAATAATGCTCCTTCATTCACTTGTTCCTCTAAACATTTACAGAGCACCTAACAGGAAACTGTGGATACAAACATGAATAAATCCCAGTCCCTGACTGCTGGGAGTTTGCTTTTTAGCGTGAGGAGGACAAACATTTAAGGCAATAAAGCTTCATCGGTGCTATGCTAGATCAAGTGCAGGCTGCAGAAGGAGTTAAAAAGTGGGAGTTGGTTATTTCTATTTAGACCAGAAAAGGTTTTATAGGGGATGCTTTGATGCATGATGTGCAAATATTTCAGAGACAGGTGCGGATGAGACTGGAGGGATATTCTAGATATAAGGACCATGCAATGTGAGTAAAGGCATGGAGACCTGAAATAGAATGACACACTGGGGAACCCACATGGCTCTGCATGATTGTTTTAGGGAGTACAAGGAGAGAAGTTGGGCAGAAATAAGGCTGGAGAGACAGAAGAATGCCAGACCCCAGAGGACCTCATGTTATGTAAGAAATAGCAATCACCTGGGCAGTCCTTTTTAGGCACAGGAAGCATGCCTGAAGTTCTCAGGTGTAATTCACTCAAGCGGAACACTATCTATATTGGAATCTGAAGACGTTTAATTCAGGAGGCCGGGAGCGGTGGTTGATGCCTGTAATCCCAGCACTTTGGGAGGCTGAGGTGGGCCAATCACTCAAGGCCAGGAGTTTGAGACCACCCTGGCCAACATGATAAAATTTCATCTCTACTAAAAAAAAAAAAAAAAAAAAATTAGCTGGGCATGGTGGTGCATGCCTGTAATCCCAGCTACTTGGAAGGCTGAGGCACAAGAATCGCTTGAACCCAGGAGGCAGAGGTTGCAGTGAGCCGAGATCGTGCCACTGCACTTCAGCCTGGGTGACAGAGTGAGACACTGTCTCAAAAATAAATAAATATGTTTAATCTGGGGCTTTATGAAGGCAACAGAAAATAATCAGCAAGAATAACTCAATTTATGTAAGAACTATATACATGTCATAATTGAGCTAAATTTCTTCACTGAATAAATATTTTTGGCACATAATCTGCAGAGGGATTAGCATATCATGGAACTTACACTCTATGAGGAATTCAAACATTAAAGAAGAAATCAAATTTTAATATAGAATATTTTAAATTACAGGTTTAAGAAACATAAATGTTATGCTATGGGATAGGGGCATTAATGTAAACTATGCCTTGACAAGAATTGTCGAAACAAAAAACCTTAGCCAAGTGTAACCAGAAAAATATCTGACTGAGCTGCTTTTGTTGTCTAGTTTTACTCCCCTTTCTTTTGATTTTGTTTTCTCTTTTGCACTGAAATTGTCACCTTTTCATATCAACCTTATGATAGATTCTCTACCAAAAATTACTCAAACATCAGATTTTAAGCAAGAATTCTCATAAACCAATTTCGGAGAATGATTTTCTCCCCTCAAATATATCTGCAAAATGACTGTCACTGACCGCTTATTGCCACAAAATGTCTTTTTCTGAACAAACAAGGTCCTCCTGCAGCTGCTAGACTTTCTATTTGTGCTTTTCCACCTTGTTCTATCTCCCTCTTTGGATCCTCTCTGATTACAGCCTCCTCTATTGTTCCCCAGGTTGTTATAGGTCTCGAGTTTATGCTGCTGTGGTTGATGTTGAGTGGGAAGGGGGACTTTCTGTTTGGATCCAATCCCAGAATACCCATCCCTTCAACTCCAATGTGGACACAGGGTCTCTACCATATACCTTCTCTACCCAGGGTGCTGCCAAGTTTACTGTTTAGCCACACCCCCTTAATCTCATTGGTTACTCAAGTTTCAAATTTCCTAGTTGATTTTCATGAACAAATGGGCTCCATGAGGGTAAGAATGGTGTCATTTAAGAAAAAAAAGTTAGTAATTTAAGTCTACCTTAAAAAAGTCTATCATTTAAAGAGCATTAGAATGTCCTCAGAGTTACTAATACTACTTTAATGAAGAAATAAATGCTAGATTCTTGAGTACAGGCAGATATTAGATATCAATATATGAGATATACTCTGAATTCAAGCATAGTGCCTATGCATTGTATTCATAAGCAAAAACTATAAGGTCAGAATTCGTGTCATAGATGCAGGGCTGAGTGGGCAATCACCAACAATTTATTGAGCACTTACTCCATAACAGTTCTATGTGTCTAAAGGAAAACTTTTTTTTATTTGTTTTAAATTGAAACTAATGTTTACCAATGGTACGACCACTTTGTCAGGAGCTGACTTTTGTTGTCTAAGCTATTGAGCAATGGAATAAAAGAGTTTATGGTGTTTTTGTTTTTTTTTTTTTGTATTTCTGAAATGCTCTAATTTCATGTCTGAACTTGAAAATAGCACCCTCTTATCATCCACCTTTGCTTGCTACCCTGTGATAAATAATGCCCCTTTTCCCAGTCTATATATGATGAATGGTGCTAGGCTTCCGATTAGCTTTAATTCCAAACTTCTTTATGACAGATTAGTGGTGTTACCAAAATATCAGAGTCATGTCTGAACCTTGACTCAAGGGAAAAAAATAATTACCTGTGGAGCTGAAAACACTGAAATAGTTGGTTACACTTTACTAAGTAAAATATAATTAGAAATGTTCAAATAAACTGGAAGTGAGTTTAATAAAGTTGTCCACCAAAGTAGTGACATTGAACACTTACTTTTTATTATATGGGAATTTTCATGTAATTCAGGAAAAAGACCTTAAGGCTCTTTATTTGTTTCCATGTGTCCTCTTAGTGTGTATAATTTAAGATCACAAATTACTCTTTGCATTCTAGTTTGACAACTAAACTTTTTTTACTTTCCACTCACAAGATTTATAGGGAATTTGTGCATTTTGACCTTTTGATTCTAACAACCAATCATTAGCCAATCAAGAATGGAAACTTTGGAAATATTACAGATAGAGCCACTGTGATTTAAATCATTTAACATGTTAATTCTGACAGAAAATCCTACTCAGAAAAAACAACCAGCAGCAGCATGTTTGAGTGCAAACAGCAAGAAACATCCCAAAACATGACCTCCCCGATAGTCAGAATGACGCAGCATCCATTTCCTACTTTACAGAATTGCCTCCCATTATAAATCACTTTATCTTCTCAACTCCAAAGCATCCCAGACACATTCTTTACCCGTGAATTCACAAGCCTTTTCTCTGAGAGAGGCCTTGGGACTAGGAACTTTTTGAATGAGTGTAGAAGTCGGGAAGGAGACAATAGTGTCAACTTGGGATTGCCTAAGGCAACAACAGAGCAAAACAAGAACGCTTTGGTTCTCTGGGTCTCTGTCCCTGATTGCATAGCGGGTCATTGTTGGGAAATATTTCCTCACCTGGCATTCCAAGAAATGGAGAGCTCCACAGCTGTATATAGTCCTGTCATTAAATACAGGAGTGTTCTATCCCGCTGGAATTAAGAAAATTGGTAGAACCAGATTGTGGTCTGAAATCTTTTTTCAGAAATGCTGCCATCGTGTGGCACTGCGGAGCTATGACCAGAAGAGTCCTGTAAAGGGTCGTATGGTTCATCTCAAGATGGCTGGGCTCCAGCATAATCTATTCCTATAATTAATTCTAGCTTCATATTGAATCATTCCCGTGGGCACAGAGTAAACTACAGTAAATCCTGTGGAAATTTTGTTGTTTTTAGAATTTTCAGACTTCCCTCCACTAAATTGACAACATGACACGCTTATGCGGGTATGTTTAAAGGAAAAAAATAGTTTTTAGAAGCAGAAAAAAGAAGTCTATTTTGCAACTTTATAATCTGTGTGCTTTCTATTTTATAGAGATAGTCGTCATCTTACTTATTAAAATGGGTGCTTATTACCTACAAACCAATCATATCAATTCATCTGGAATACATCCAATTTAAGGGAGACATATTTCCCCCTACCAAATGTTCATGAAACCTATGAATTAGCTATACACTATCACTGCAAGACATTATTTAATCTATATTTATATTAAAAGTAATATTTGGCAAAAGGAAGCTGACACTTTAGGACTAATAAAAACCACAATTACTTTTGCAGCAACCTAATAATAAATAGGACCATTTATTTTTCATCTCAATTACACACAAGTCTTAACAATAAAGGTGTAAGGTAAATAAATAGTGCAATCTGCATTTCACAACTGAGAAAGCAAATGAAGATAAGTAATCTCAAGGCAATATTAAATATTTTAAAAGGACCCAGAGCTCTGCTATCCCTGAATTCTGCTCTAATATTCGGACTTTCCCTGTAATTTTCTTTCATTCAGACACCTTTTAAATACCTAGTAAAGTGTTTTTTAATACAGAAATTTTTAAAAATGTTTTTCTTTTTAAGTGGCCTACTTTACATACCTTGGGAGAAAAACTAGAAAAAAAGATGATTCCAAAATCGAATCTGTTCCTTTAGAAATGTGCAAAATTTCCTTATTGATGCATACAATTTAAAGATCTTACGTCTACTCTCATTTTAATAACCTGTTCTTTTAAAGGACATTACAATTCGTGACTGCCTGCCCCTCTTAAAAATTTCATAATAGTTAACACACATATAGTCCTTAAGATACGCAGAGCATTTGCATCTAATATGTGCTAAGCATTGCTAGTTTAACATACTAATTCATTTAAACCCCTCAAAAACCCCATGACCTAGGTAATAGTATTGCATTTCATGGATGAGGGAACAAGGATAGGTAGGCTGGGCGATTTGCCCAAGGTTGCACAGGTCAGCAGTGACACAGCGGAATTCAGAACCACGGTCTGGCTCCTGAAGCAGCCCTCTCAAGCAGTCATCCTGCTCTCAGTCAGAAACTGCTTTACTTCTGCAACATCTAGAATAAATTACCATTCTTCTATTTCATATAGAATTTTATATTTTAATGTCACTAGTGCCATTTGTCTAAGTAACAAGCTACTGCATACTCGAAATCACAAAGCTAAGCTTGAGTAGTAAAGGACAGAGGCAAGTTTTCTGAACTCCTTGCAGGCTTGAACAATAGCCTTCTGGCTCTTCAATAAGTACAATCATACAGGCAAGAGTGGTTGCAGATATTACCTTTATGTTACTTAAACCGAAAGAAACAAAAATCCATTCTATTTAATTTTACATTAATGTTTTTCCCTACTTTCTCCCTTTTTCATGGGATCCCTAAGTGCTCTTCCTGGATGCTGAATGCCCATCCCGTAAATGAAAAAGCTAGTTAATGATATTGTACATAAGTAATGTTTTAACTGTAGATTGTGTGTGTGCGTTTTTGTTTTTTTTTGTTTTAACCACAAAACCAGAGGGGGAAGTGTGGGAGCAGGTGGGCTGGGCAGTGGCAGAAAACCTCATGACACAATCTCTCCGCCTCCCTGTGTTGGTGGAGGATGTCTGCAGCAGCATTTAAATTCTGGGAGGGCTTGGTTGTCAGCAGCAGCAGGAGGAGGCAGAGCACAGCATCGTCGGGACCAGACTCGTCTCAGGCCAGTTGCAGCCTTCTCAGCCAAACGCCGACCAAGGTACAGCTTCAGTTTGCTACTGGGTTGTGCATTCAGCTGAATTTCATGGGGAAGTCCAAATTCTAAGGAAAAATATTTTTAATTGTAATGCTGTTAAACAGACTTAAATTTTCTAGCCTTTTTAATAAGCAGATTAGATACATTGCAGGTCTCCTGGAACAAAGGTGTCTAGATATTTTGAATGCCAATCAAATTTAAAACTTAAAAATACTTCCACTGGGTCCTCAAAAGAACGGAAACCACCGATGCTAATCAGAAAATAGTAAAATTAAATTCCCCTTTGGAATAATTATACCTATATAATTTTCAGTGGGTGACTGTGCAGGAATTTAAAAGAAAAGGGATCTTTTATGCTAATTAAACCAATTACAATGCTATTTTTTAAATGATGTATCTCACTTTTAAGGGGAAGAAAACCCTTTCTGAATATGCCACTGCTAAATTTAGCTGTTAAAATATTCACCAAGATACCTGTATGACACTGTGTAGGCTTATTATTACAAATAGAAAAGCTGTTGGCTATTTTCAATGTTTTCCTTTGAATTTCAAATTTTTAGAACATCTTACTTAAATAACAAATTTCAGAGATAGTTTGATTTCACCTAAGTAGCACCTACTTGATAATTAAGCTAAAAGTCACATTTAAAGTACATGTTGGAAAAATGGATAAAGCAAATTTTTTTCATTTTTTTCTGTGAGTTTTTTCTTCTCTAAAAAATATTCCCATACTAGCTTATTAATATAATTAAGTTACTGTTGATCTGTTTGTAGGTTTAGAGAGCTAGATATATAAGGTAGTAATGGTATAATTTCTGGAACTCTAAATTTTAAAGTTGAATAAATACAGACTTGCAAAATTTCCCTTTCCCTTGCCTAATAGTGAAAGATGGATAATAGGTGGCAATATAAATATTAACTTGAAAGACTATAATACTAAAAAGAAAAGGCATCTCTAAGAAGTAGAAAAGATTCTATAGAAAATATATTTTATTTGTGATCATTTTGTAATGTGGTAGTATAAAAAGGTATCACTGTTGTAACCTATGAAGATGTCAGCTATTCCTTATGAAATATTTTGCAGGAAAACTCACTACCATGAGAATTGCAGTGATTTGCTTTTGCCTCCTAGGCATCACCTGTGCCATACCAGTGAGTACAGTTGCATCTTAAAGAAAATTCCTGAAAATAACTGAATTGTGTGCTTCCATGTGCTAGGAGGACATTCTTGTAATCTTTCTTCATCTTTTCTGTTTCTAAGGTTAAACAGGCTGATTCTGGAAGTTCTGAGGAAAAGCAGGTAAGCATCTTTTATGTTTTTATATAGTTAAATCATTTACTCAATTATGGCGAGAGGTGCAAGAAACGTATTTGCTGCGATATTACTTATCTTCTCAGTCAAATCCATTGGTTTACAAGTATTGATTGACTGCCTGCTATGAATCTAGGCCAGTACCAAGCACAGTATAGTTTTTAATAAATATAAGTTTATAAAACCAACCCAGATATTTTAAATATAATAATATCTAGGCATGTATGATGAGTTATCGCATGTAAGATAAGTTATATGAAGTTGTGTGACTTTTTTTCCATTAGTCCACATACTGATCTAAAAGCAGAAAATTCCAGCTTTTGCTTTGTTTAGTGGATTGCTAAGTTTAAAATTCACATTGGATATTAGTCAGAACTGTTTGTATGACCATAATATTCACAATATTGTCTGAGATATTAGCTGAGAAGCCCATTGTGAAAAGAAAGTCTATGTGTGCTGTTTGTATCTATTGTGATTGTCAGCTGATGTTAGATCACATTTTCTAACCAAACATAAGACCAACCAAACTCTTTATTATAATTATTTGACCAGCACTAAAGATGTACCTACCCCTCCACAACAGATGAAACTGTGCCAGCCAAACAACAAATGGGCATTGTCCCCAGAAGCTTGGACAAAAAGGCACACAGAGTTCAATTCCAGTTGAACAGAATAAAGGCCAAAATAGAGCTGCCTTGGGGGTCACTGCAATTAGACTGCTTAATGAAGACATTAAAAGAAGTATTCTGTGTTCGTTTGTGTGTGGAGGGGTGTGTGTGTCTGTTTTTCAACTGATTTGAAAATACAGGTGTTGAATCCTAATAATAAACCAGAAAAATTAACATCTCCAGAGAAGATAGAGGTCATACTATTTGAGGCAAGAATTAGCGTCTTTTTAATAAACGAAAATATGGCAAAGATGCATTTTAGAAGGCACGTGGAGCTATAACAATTTAAGAAATACGTGAAGAGCTCAAGGCTCAGCCTTCTAGAATCCCAGAAACTTAAAGCTAGTAAAAAATTGGGGAAGTCTCTAAGGATATATGCCTGAAAATACACACTGGTTATCTGTGAGTGTTAGGATTACTGGGTGGTTTTTAGTCTATTCATTTTGCTTACCTTTATTTTCTTCATATTAGTTTTTAAAAATTATAAATGTAACTTATACATCCATTCTCTCTGAGCCTGTATTACATGTGTCATGAGAATAGATAGATAGATATGAAAAAGTGAAGAGAAAAACTCTGAACTCATCTGGTCTCACTGTTTTTCCGCCTTCTTTTTTTTTTTTTTTTTTTTTTTTTGAGACGGAGTCTCGCTCCGTCGCCCAGGCTGGAGTGCAGTGGTGTGATCTCGGCTCACTGCAAGCTCCGCCTCCCAGGTTCACCCCATTCTCCTGAGTAGCTGGGACTACAGGCGCCCGCCACCACGCCCGGATAATTTTTTGTATTTTTAGTAGAGACGGGGTTTCACCGTGTTAGCCAGGATGGTCTCCATCTCCTGACCTCGTGATCCACCCTCCTTGGCCTCCCAAAGTGCTGGGATTACAGGCGTGAGCCACTGCGCCCGGCTGTTTTTTCATCTTCTTAAAGCAAGGAACCCCTTCTTTCAGCAAAACCTTTCGGAGAAGCCCAATACTAAGCTCCTCTGGTTAGAGCCAGCCATGAGAGAAACTCCAAGTACTTCTGACTGGTTCTCTCTCTACTCATCCACCCCTTAGGTGGCTGCAGAAGGAACTCTGTGCAACCCCCAGAGTTCTCATTCTCAGTGACAGGGAAATGTAATGATTGGCCCTGGATGATTCAGCAGATCAGATGATACTTACTCAGAGCAATTTCCACTCCTTTGCAGTAGCATATTATCAGTATTTTCCAGATAAATAACTTGGCTAAAGAAAAATCCATTTCATTTACATCTTTGGCACCTTACAGCAATAGAACTTTTGTGCAATGATTTTAATATTATATTTCTACATTGGCTGATAAGATACATATGGCTATTGAGCACTCAAAATGTGGGCTAGTGCAACTGAGGAACTGAATTTTTATCTTCTTTTTTTTTTTTTTTTTTTTTGAGATGGAGTCTTGCTCTGTCACCCAGGCTGGAGTGCAGTGGCGCAATCTTGGCTCACTGCAAGCTCTGCCTCCTGGGTTCACGCCATTCTCTTGCCTCAGCCTCCCCAGTAGCTGGGGGTACAGGTGCCTGCCACCACGCCCGGCTATTTTTTTTTATTTTTATTTTTTTTAGTAGAAACGGGGTTTCACTGTGTTAGCCAGGATGTTCTCGATCTCCTGACCTCGTGATCCGCCTGCCTCGGCCTCCCAAAGTGCTGGGATTACAGGGGTGAGCCACCGTGCCTAGCCATTTCATTTTAATTAACTTAAATTTAAATAGCTCCATGTGGTTAGAGGATACTGAATTAGCACAGTCTTAGAGAGTTCCTTCTTGTTCCATGGACTGGACACAATGAAGATTAACAGTAATTAAGGTCACTTCTGGTTTAGATGTGCTTTATCTGAGAGGAAAATTCAGCCAGCAAACATACAAAAAGAAAGCACAGTGTGAAGTTCGGTGTTAAGAGCTAGTTTGCCTGCGTTTGAACCCTGCCTGGCTCTGCCATTTCCTACCACTTAACTGCACTGTGGCTGAGTTTTCTGATCTGTAAGGTGGGAATAATAATGATACCTATCTCATAGGGGAATGAAAGGATCAAATGAGTTCATATTTGTAAAGCAATTTGAAAGAGTGCCTAGCCCACAGTAAGTGCTACATAAGAGTTTGTTAAATGAATCTGCAAAAAAAAAAAAATTACAAAAAGGTACCTAAGGGTCCGGGTGACTATATGCTTCCATCAAGACTAGTGAAGAATGGTTGTTTTTTCCATTCATCCCTACATTTCTTTTTTTAATAATGATAAACATGCAACTTTTTTGTAGCTTTACAACAAATACCCAGATGCTGTGGCCACATGGCTAAACCCTGACCCATCTCAGAAGCAGAATCTCCTAGCCCCACAGGTATTTTTAAACTTCTCATAATTAAACTACAGTGATGAAAGATAGCCACACTCAGGCCATTTGGGCTGCTCAGATGAATCCTGCCTGCCTGCTGGCAAACATGTGCTTAGGACATTGACTGATCTGCCATGTTGGCTTCTCTCTGTGTTAAGCCATCCACAGATGAGGCTGAAAAATAAAAACTGCTTTGGATTAAAAAGGTTAACTTTTGAATAAAAAAGCTAGGCATGTGTGATGCGCACTAACACGTGCCATTCCTTCTTCAGAATGCTGTGTCCTCTGAAGAAACCAATGACTTTAAACAAGAGGTAAGTTCTCATTTTCAATCAGAGGCCCATCATGCCTTGAAGAGATGAAAGAAGGCATTGCCTGGATTCTCTTCTGATGAAATTTCATTAGCAAGTTTTCCAGCTAATTGGCAGTCTAAAACTTGCTCATAAATAAAACATGTATTTACTAAATATCAGAAATACTAGGTTTCCTCGGATAAGTTTAGCATTACAGAAGATGTTTATTAATGCCTGTTATTTGAAACATTAATCTGCTTGCAATTTATTTAAGGTATTTTGTAGATATCTAATATCTAATAAGCATCTAATTAATGCATATCAAAGCTAAGATTTTGCCTTTAGGAAAGTTTTCTTTCCTAATAAAATAGTTTATTTGACAACTATTCTTTTTATTAGGATCATTCATATATTTGCTAAGCAAAGAGTAAATTTATTTTCCTTAAGATTCAATTTGAATATACTAAGAATATTAAAGCAAGTTAGATAAATTACCCAATATATTTGTCAATTTGAAATTTGATAGACATTAGTTGTTTAATTCAATGGGCAGTTTTGAGCTGCAGTTTATACACACATGCATAACAGAGTCACCTTTCAATTATCCATGTTAATAGGAAAGTGGTTATAGATTTTAGTACACACATTAAAATATGGATACTCTTCTCTTTTGATAAATCTCATTTCAAATAAAAAAACCAGTCTCATAATTATGTATCTGTATCTATTACATCATTGAATTTAGTAAATAATGTTTAATATGTATAAGGAAAAACAATGTTATTGACATGAAGATTATACTCACATATTTGGCTTGAAAATATCTATAAAAATAATTTCTGTTGCAAAGTAAGAAATGTTCTTCAGAATGTTATTAATCCCTGTGTTAAAAGAGAAATTGGAAGATGCTCACTTTAGCTCCTAAAAGCCATGGTATGTACTGTGAATGCAAAGATTCTGAAACTAAATAAAAAGAAAGATAGTAAAAGACTAATGTGCTATAAAGGCTAAGGGAAAATAAAAACCCATATATTAATTTTCCCGGCCATCTTAATTTTCAGACCCTTCCAAGTAAGTCCAACGAAAGCCATGACCACATGGATGATATGGATGATGAAGATGATGATGACCATGTGGACAGCCAGGACTCCATTGACTCGAACGACTCTGATGATGTAGATGACACTGATGATTCTCACCAGTCTGATGAGTCTCACCATTCTGATGAATCTGATGAACTGGTCACTGATTTTCCCACGGACCTGCCAGCAACCGAAGTTTTCACTCCAGTTGTCCCCACAGTAGACACATATGATGGCCGAGGTGATAGTGTGGTTTATGGACTGAGGTCAAAATCTAAGAAGTTTCGCAGACCTGACATCCAGGTAAATCCTTTAACAGACACACCTGATGGTTCTGACTAGCGCTCAAGTCTAGGAAACCACAGTTTGCATATTCATTCATTCATTCATCCATTCATTCATCCATTCAGCAAGAATTCATTCATATTCTACTTTATGACCATTGAATACAAATCTTTTTCTGCTTGGCGGTTTTTGTAAGTCTACATAATTTCTCTCTAGATTTGATTCTCAAACACAATTCTACTTTTTGAAATCCTGGATCACTTATTTTCAGATTAAAATAAATGGAAAACACCAATTATTTAAAAAAAATAATGGTCATGTTTTGAAGTTAAATACCTAAGAGGAATTGTAGTTGCAAATTACACTGAATCCTTAGTCACAGAATCTGGATTTGACATAGCCTTGCCGTTTACTATTCTCTTTACTTTTTAACTAACAATTCACTTCCTCTTTATGTAGGTTTCAATATAATGAAACCTACCTCATAGGTTTCATTACATATGTAAGTGATGTAGTTATTAAACTAAATGAGATGACATATGTGAAAGGCCTTGGTAAAGTACTATACAAAGTAACATGCTAGTATTATTTCAGCCAGATTTAGACAATTTTTAGTATAAGATGACCTAAAAGCTAGAGAGTGGAAAAGGATTACCATATTCCCATCCCTAGCCGTTCATATAATTATTCTTCATTTGTGCCGTGATTCAGTACCCTGATGCTACAGACGAGGACATCACCTCACACATGGAAAGCGAGGAGTTGAATGGTGCATACAAGGCCATCCCCGTTGCCCAGGACCTGAACGCGCCTTCTGATTGGGACAGCCGTGGGAAGGACAGTTATGAAACGAGTCAGCTGGATGACCAGAGTGCTGAAACCCACAGCCACAAGCAGTCCAGATTATATAAGCGGAAAGCCAATGATGAGAGCAATGAGCATTCCGATGTGATTGATAGTCAGGAACTTTCCAAAGTCAGCCGTGAATTCCACAGCCATGAATTTCACAGCCATGAAGATATGCTGGTTGTAGACCCCAAAAGTAAGGAAGAAGATAAACACCTGAAATTTCGTATTTCTCATGAATTAGATAGTGCATCTTCTGAGGTCAATTAAAAGGAGAAAAAATACAATTTCTCACTTTGCATTTAGTCAAAAGAAAAAATGCTTTATAGCAAAATGAAAGAGAACATGAAATGCTTCTTTCTCAGTTTATTGGTTGAATGTGTATCTATTTGAGTCTGGAAATAACTAATGTGTTTGATAATTAGTTTAGTTTGTGGCTTCATGGAAACTCCCTGTAAACTAAAAGCTTCAGGGTTATGTCTATGTTCATTCTATAGAAGAAATGCAAACTATCACTGTATTTTAATATTTGTTATTCTCTCATGAATAGAAATTTATGTAGAAGCAAACAAAATACTTTTACCCACTTAAAAAGAGAATATAACATTTTATGTCACTATAATCTTTTGTTTTTTAAGTTAGTGTATATTTTGTTGTGATTATCTTTTTGTGGTGTGAATAAATCTTTTATCTTGAATGTAATAAGAATTTGGTGGTGTCAATTGCTTATTTGTTTTCCCACGGTTGTCCAGCAATTAATAAAACATAACCTTTTTTACTGCCTATATAATGTTTTTAAAGGTTTATTTTGGTTTCAATTGATACATAATAAGTGTACATATTTATGGGGTACGGTGTGATGTTTTGTTACATATATACATTGTATAATTATCAAAGGGTAATTATCATATCCATCACCTGAAACACTTGTCATTTATTTGTGCTGAGAACATTCAATCCTCTTTTCTAGCTATTTTGAAGTATACAATACATTATTATTGACTATAGCCAAGCTACTTTGCAATAGAATACTAGAATTTATTCCTCCTAGCTAACTGTAACTTTGTACCCATTGACTAACCTCCCCTCATCCACCTTCCCACTCTCCCAGCCGCTGGTAATCACTATTCTACTCTCTACTTCTATGAGGTCAACTTTTCTAGATTCCACATATGAGTGAGATCATGCAGTACTCTTCCTTCTGTGCTTGGCTTATTTAACTTAACATCCTCTAGGTTCGCCTATGTTGTCAAAAATACCAAGAGAAAACATGCACAAACTATACATCTAAGAAGGAATTAAAATCCAGAATACATAAGGAACTCAAACAACTTAATATCAAAAAAAAAAGAAAAAAAAAGACAACTCAAATAATCCAATTTAAAATGGGCACAAATCTGAATAGACATTTCTCAAAAGAAGACATGCAAATGGCCAACAGGTATACAGAAAAATGCTCAACATCACTAATCACCAGGAAAATGCAAATCACAACCACAATGAGATATCATCCCACCCAAGCTAAAATGGCTTTTATCAAAGAGACAAAAAATAACAGACACAGGCCAGGATTCGGGGAAAGAAGGACACTCGTACACTGGTGAGAACTGTAAATTAGTACAGCCACTATGAAAAACTGTATGGAGACTTCTCAAAAAAACAAAAATAGAACTACCATATTATTTAGCAATCCCACTGCTGAGCATATAACCAAAAGAAAGCAAATCAATATGTGGAAGAGATATCTGAACTTCAATGTTTATGGCAGCACTATTCACAATAGCCAAGATGTGCAATAAATGTAAATGTCCCTCATGATGAATAGATAAAGAAAATGTGGTATATACACACAATGGAGTACTATTTGACCATAAAAAGAAATTAAATCCTGTCATTTGCAGCAACATGGATGGAACTGGAGGTCATTATATTAAGTGAAATAAGACAGGCACAAAAAGACAAATATCGCATGTTCTCACCCATATGTGGTAGCTAGAAAAGTGGATCACATAGAGATAGACTGTAAATTGGTGGTTCTACAAGAGGCTGGGGAGGGTGAGGGTAAGGGGCAGATGAAGAAAAGTTGATTAATGGGTACAAATATACAGTTAGGTAGAAGAAATAGGATCTAGCATTTGACAGTACAGTAGGGTAACTATCAATAATTTACTGTATATACATTTGTTAAAAACCCTAAAAGACAAGAATTCAAGTGTTCCCAACATAAAGCAAAGATAAATGTTTGAGGAAATGGATATCTCAGTTATGCTCATTGGATCATTACACACTATATGCACACACAAAAACATCATATGTGCCCCCAAAATACAGACAACTATTGCATATCAATTTTTTAAATAATCAATAAATTTAAAAGGAAACTATAAAGATATTAGATAAATACATGAGTGAGTAACTTCACAGTCTGGGTGTGGAGAAACCTCTTCTAATGATGAGAAGACAATGCCATGCCATAGTCCTTGTAGATATCATTAGTCAGGTGCAGCAGCCCCTTAGGCTCCCAGCATACTTGCTGCAGTGGGCACTTCCTCACACTCACCTGCAGGTGATGGCTGGATTGATGGTGTTGTTCCCACATGCTTGGCAAGGGGCTTGGCACTGTGCTCAAATCCAAGGGCATGACCAAGTTACTCCTGGAATCACTTATTTGAATAGTGGTACTATTTAACAACTATTCCCTGCATCACTTCTCTATTAGTCAGGGTTCATTCAGAAGACAGAAAAGAGACCAGTCATTTGAACAGGGAAAATTTAATTTAAAGAATTATTAACTAGAAAGAGGAGAATAACCAGAGAGAATAAGAGAAATAAGAGAACATTAACAATACCATGGGGCTGAAAGTGCCCATATAAGGAACAACTTGCAAAAGGAGAGGCCCTCTCCTGAGATTCAGACTTCACTGGAAAGGGTACAGTCACAGCCCAAGGGATGGCAGAGAAGTCTGCTGTGTTATCCTGAGTCAGAGCTGGTCCACAGTGGTCCAACTGGTGGGCTCAAGTTGGAAAACAAGAGACTTCCCACAGGGGTTCCAGCAGACTGAGGCCAGCAAAGAAGGAAAACCATGGGGCAGGCCAGCTGAGCAGGAGGCTAGCTGGAGGGTGAGTGCCACAAGGTGCTCTGTGTGCACAGCAGTGTCCCTCCAGTGCCCTCTACTGACAAAGCTTGCCACTGTGCCAGTTGGCAAAGGAAGCACGTTCACAGGGTCCATCTCCAGCAGTATCACAGAGCAGGGCAGAGACAATGGATTTGGAGCAGGGAGGCACAAAACTGACAGGGGAAAAGGCTGATTCCTCCTAGACAACAAGAGCACAAAAATGAGCCTGGGACATTTTTTCATGATAGGATGAAAGCAAGCACGAAAGGACAAAATGGGGTTATATCCAAGGGACCAAAGAGCAGACTTGCAAGGGGCTTCCATTGGCCAAAACTGGCGTAATTTGAGCAATAACAGAATAACGACAGTAACGAATTATAACAAATTGAATTTTTAAAATTCCACTAGTATATAGTGATACTACAAAAGAGCATTAAAGAAGGAAAATTCTTCTTTACAGATGAATGCCAGCTAGTAATAAAACTAGAAGGAATGCTAACATTAAAAAATTATTTCATAACCCACAAGGAAATAATTGAGGAAGTGATCACTAATGAATGTTAAAATTATTGTGCAGAAGATGATTGAGAACATCTCACCTGGTCTCAGAGTATTCACCTGTTCTCAGAATATTACTCCACAATTATTTAATAATTCCAAAAGAAAGAAAGTGCTTTCAACCAGAGAGATTTGCAGTCACCGTCTTTAGCCAGTAATTAATGAGACTTGTAGATACGTACCACCCAGTGTGAGGCAATAAGAAATATGCAACATCATCTAGAAATTTTTGTAAAAAATGTTTACAAAATCAAATGACTAGAAAACAAGCAAATCCAGAATTTGAGCTACTCTATAATAGAACTGGTCTGAGCTTTTTTTTTTTTTTATCTTTTGAGACGGATTTTCGCTCTTTCACCCAGGCTGGCATGAAGTGGCGAGATCTCGGCTCACTGCAACCTCCCCCCGGCCCCGGGTTCAAGTGATTCTCCTGCCTCAGCCTCCCCAGTAGCTGAGATTACAGGCATGAGCCACCGCACCCGGCAGTCTGAACTTTTTAAAAAGCAGAGTTGTTAGATAAAATACAGGATACTGAGTTAAATTTGATTTTCAGATAAATAACAAATTAGCTTTTAGTATGAGCACGGGACATTTTATGCTAAAAGATGATTCATTGTTTATTTGACATTCAGGTTAACTGAGCATCCTTTTCTAAATTTTCTAAATCTGCCAATCCTACAAAACAGACAATTTGATGAGAGAAAAAGGGCAAGAGAGGAGATAGTATTCTAGATTAAAAATATACCAGGTATAAAATAGATTAAAAAATATACCAGGTATAAAAAGTAAAACATGGGCCGGGCGTGGTGGCTCATGCCTGTAATCCCAGCACTTTGGGAGGCTGAGAAGGACAGATCACCTGAGGTTGGGAGTACCCGACCAGCCTGACCAACATGGAGAAACCCCTTCTCTACTAAAAATACAGAATTAGCCAGGTGTGGTGGCACATGCCTGTAATCCCAGCTACTCGGGAGGTTGAGGCAGGAGAATCGCTTGAACCCAGGAGGTGGAGGTTGCGGTGAGCCGAGATTGCACCATTGCACTCCAGCCTGGGCAACAAGAGTGAAACTCCGTCTCAAAAAAAAAAGGTAAAACATGAACCTTGATTGGCTCCTGGATTGAAAAAGACACACAGCCATAAAAAACCTTTTGGGGACAATTGTGGCAATCTGAATATACACAGTATATTAAATGATATTGTGAAATTACTGATAATTTTCTTAGATGTGATCATTGCATTGTACATGAAAGTGAATGTTCTTACTCTTGAGAGAAGTATAATGAAATATTTAGGGATGAAGTGCCATGGTTTTTGTAATTTACTTTCCAGCGGTTCAGAAAATAATGACTGGGAGAGGAAATGTGAAGATGTAGGTTAGAGGTTACAAAGTAGCAGACATGGGGAATAAGCAAGTCTAGAGATCCAGTGTACAACATGAGGACTACTATTAATAAAATTGTACAGTATTTGGGATTTCTGCTAAATGAGTAGATTTTAGCTGCTCTTGCCACACACATAAAAAAGGCTATCTATAGGAGATGATGGGTATGTTAATTTGCTTCACTACAGAAGCCATTTTTCTGTCTATATGTATCCCATAACATTATGTTGTATACCTTAAATATACACAATAAGATTTCTTTTTAGCTTTTTGGAAAGTGGCGACTGAGTCTGTGGGTGCTGCCCCAGGAGTGGGAGCTATCATACACCCTCCTCTTCCAATCCATGTTGCAACCAATAAAGGCTGTTTCTACAGTGTTAAAAAAAAATTCAACGGTAGGCTGTCATCAGGGGAAAAAAATTAGTAAGAAGTCAGAAAAAAGGTATACAGAAAGAGAAGAAACTATGGGGAAAAGCATATTATTCTTTTAACTTTTCTCAAGGTTTAAAAATGTTCCAAAAATTGGAAGTAGGAGGATAGAGCAGGGAGAACAGAAAAATGTACAATGAATAATGTCCATCAGATAGTGTCTCAGACATAGGTATAAAAGTCTCAGAACAATTCCCTCATTATTCACCTCACAAGATCATAAAAAAGGCATTCATAAATTTTTATAAATAAAAAAAGTGTCAAGACCAATTTCCCATCACCTATGCGTTTTTCAATAACCCTGTAGATACTCCCTTTGATGCAGGTCTTCTTTAGTCAAACAATCTTTTCATCCCTTGCCCATGGCAATGATATGGCCTAACTGTGAATCAAAGTATTTGTCCTGGTTCCTGGCATAGCCTTTTCTCCTCTGCCACCCCCAGTTTTTCAAGTTTCTAGTAACAATTGCTCCAAATCCTGTTTGATTGCAATTATAGCATAATGGCCAAGTTTCCATGGGATTCAGCTTTGTCAGTGGAGCAAGGCAGAGGCAAAGAACTATAATGAGCAATTCTGATATTGACCTGTACTGAGCATGCAAAAAGGACCTTAAAAACCTATTTGTAGACATTAAAGAAAAGATTGTTTTCTACTTCACAATTTCATAAGGTAGTTTTTTATACTTCTTCAATTTAGTAGCTCACTTACTGAAGCATAATTATATTCTCCGCTCAAAACATCCAGAAAGCATGCATTCTCTAAAACATTGCAAGTTGAACTTCAACGTTATTTCAATGCAGACTCTTTGACTTATCTATTTTATTCTAAATACCACAGTGACTCGTGTTTGACTAATCCAATGTGATTATTTTAATCCAGAGTGTAGATGGATATTGCATATTAGATCCAAATTTCTGATAACATTCCCCCAAAGATGCAAACACGTAAGTCCCAAAGACCTATGTAGCTGAATCTGCTCTTCTAGTCACATTGAAAGAGCATAGATCAGCAACCAGAAAGAGAAAAGAGCGGTGGCCTCTGAGGCTCCACCAAAAAAATGTGGGGCAGACCTAAGGGGAAATCTAAAAGTAGGGTGCCAAAGGTGTCCTTAGTATTACTGACATCATTTATAATGTATCGAGGTTTCATTTTGAAGTTATTATTGAGTAAAAGAACAAAATTCTTGTAAGGAAATGATACCGCTAACTTTTTGAAGGTTGGGAGAAAGAGGGAGGGGAGGGCTTACTCTAGGTATAGCTCAAATACTTGAATTTCCCATACATCATCTTCTTTATCATTCCAGATACAGGCGGTGGAGAGGAAGCAGGGCAGGAGCTGACACCATGCAGAATGCAGCCAGGCTGGACCTCGCGGTGCCTCCTGAGACCCCTCGGGGGGTGGTGAGGGTCCAATAAATGACCCAAGTTCCAATCTCAGGGAACTAGAAGAAAAGCCAAACAAACCATCATAGGCAGAAGAAGGGAAATAGTAAAGATATCAGTGAAAACCAATGAAATTGAAAACAGGAAAGCAACAGAGAAAATTAAACAAAAGGCTGGTTTTTGTAAAAAAAATTAATAAAATTGAAAATCTTCTAGTGAGATGGACACAGGTAAAAAGAGAGAAGACACAAATCTCCCATATCGGGAATTAAACAGGGGAGATCCCGCAGCCATTAAAGGGCTAATAGAGGAAGACTACTGTTATGAGGTGAATGTATTCCCCCAACCCAAAAAGAAATGTTAAAGTCCTAACCCCCAATATCTCAGAATGTGACCTTATTTGGAAACAGCGTCATTGCAGGTGGAATTAGTTAAGATGAGGTCATCAAGGAGCAGGGTGGGCTCCTAATCCAGTATGATGATGTCCTTATAGGAAGAGGCCATGTGAGGACTGAGACACACAGGGAGAATGCCATGTGACAACAAAGGCAGAGGTTGGAGTTATGCAGCTACAAACCAAGAAGTACTGCACGTTGCCAGCAGCCACCAAAGCTAGAAAGAGACAAGCAAGGATTCTCCCCATGGGTCTCGAGGGAGCATGGCCCTGCTGACTCCTTGATTTCAGGCCCTGGCCTCTAGAACTGTGAGACAATACATTTCTGTTGTTTTAAACCACCCTGTTTGTGGTACTCATTACAGCAGCCCTGGAAATCCAATATACTATGAAAAGCTTTATACTCATAAATTCAACGACTTAGAAGAAATTGACCAACCCCTTAAAAACCATAAACTATCAAAACTCAATCAAGAGGAAGCTGATAACCTGGATAGCCTTATAAGTAGTAAAGAAATTCAATTCATAATTTAAAAGTTCCTAAAAAAGAAATCTCCAGGCCCAGATGGTTTCACCGGAGAATTTTACCAAACATTCACAGAAGAATTAACACTAATTTTACACACTGTCTGTCTTCCAGAAAATAGAAGAGAACACTCTCCAATACACTTTATGAGACCAGAATTACTCTGATATCAAAACCAGACAAAGATAGCATCAAAAGAAAAAGAAAGAATAGCATAGATCGATATCTCTCACAAGTGTAGACACAAAAATGTTAGCAAATCAAATTCAACAATAGAAAGAATAATGCATCTCCATCAAGGGGGATTTACTCAGGTATGCAAGTGTTGTTCAGTATTTAAAAATCAATATATTTTATTATATCAAGAAGCTAAAGAATAAAAACCATGATAATATCAATAATGTGGCTAACGTATTTCACAAAATTCAACATCCATTCAAAATTTACCAAAATACAAAAACAAAAACACCCAGAAACTCTCAGGAACAGAGGGGAAGTTCTTCAGCCTTATAAAGAGCATTTGGGAAAATCTACAGCTAACATCATTCTTAAGGACGAATACTTAAGGTTGAATGCTTTTCCTCTAAGATTGGGAAAAAAGCAAGAATGTCACCTCTTGGCCAGGTGCAGTGACTCACGCCTGTAATCCCAGCACTTTGGGTGGCTGAGGCGGGTGGGTCACGAGGTCAGGAGATTGAGACCATCCTGGCTAACATGGTGAAACTCCGTCTCTATCAAAAATACAAAAAATTAGCCGGGCGTGGTGGCAGGCGCCTGTAGTCCCAGCCACTCGGGAGGCTGAGGCAGGAGAATGGTGTGAACCCCGGAGGCCGGGAGGCAGAACTTGCAGTGAGCCGAGATCGTGCCACTGCACTCCAGCCTGGGCAACAGAGCAGAGGGAGAGTCCATCTCAAAAAAAAAGAAAGAAAAGAATGTCATCTCTTACACTCTTATTCAACATAGCACTAGAAGTTTTATGAACTGTAATAAGGCAAGAAGAAGAATTAAAAGGCACACCGATTGGAGAAAAGAAAATGAAACTGTCTCTATTTTCAGATAACGTGATTATCTATGTAGAAAACTCTAAGAAATCTACAAAAACATTCCTAGAACTAAGAGTTTGGTAAGATTGCAAAATACAGATCAGCTCACAAACATCAACTGAATTCCTATATTGTAACAATGAACAAATGGAAACCAAAATCGAAAACACAATACCATTTACAATTGCTTCAAAGAAAATGAAATATGTAAGTGTCAATCTAATAAAGCAGTGACCTTTTTGGCACCAGGGACCAATTTCATAGAAGACAATTTTTCCATGAACTGGCAGGAGGTGGAGTGGGGAGGATGGTTTGCGGATGAAACTGTTCCACCTCAGATCATCAGGCATTAGTTAGATTCTCATAAGGAACATGCAACCTAGACTCCTTGCAGGAGCAGTTCACAATAGGGTTTGTGTTCCTATGAGAATCTAATGCCACTGATCTGACAGGAGGTGGAGCTCAGGTGGTAATGCCAGCTCGCCCACCACTCCCCTCTCGCTGTGTGGCCCAGTTCCTAAGAGTCCACAGACCAGTACTGGTTTGTGGCCCGGGGGTTGGAGACCCCTGTAATAAAGCATGTACAGAATCTGTATAAAGAAAGTTACAAAATGCTAATTACAAAAAAGAAGACCTAAATACTTGGGGAGACACAACATGTTCACAGATTGGAAGGCTCAACATAGTAAACAGGTCAGTTCTTCCTAAATTGAGCTGTATAGGTTTAACACAATTCTTACCCAAAAATCATCACCATTTTTTGTAGACATAGAGAAATTTACTCTAAAATTTATATGGGAAGGTAAAGGCTTTAAGAATAACCAAAACAATTTTGAAAAAGAACTATAAATCACTCTTTATGATTTTAAGGCTTACTATGTAGCTACAGTAATCAAGAAAGGGTGGTACTGGCAGAAGAATGGAAACATAGATCAATGGAACAGACTGGAGAACCCAGAAATATATCTACATAAACATGCCCAATTGTTTTTGACAAAAGAAGGAAAACAATCTAAAAAGGAAGAAGAGATGGTCTTTGCAATAAATAGTGTCGGAGCAATTGAATATCCATAGGCAAAAACAAAAACAAAAACAAAACCCTTAACCTCACACTTTATACAAATATTAACTCAAACTGGATCAAAGACTTAAATGTAAAATATAAAACTGTAAAACTTCTAGAAAAAAAATAGAAGAAAATCTTCAGACCTAGGACTAGGCAAATAGTTCTTAGACTGCACACCAAAGGAATAATCCATAAAAAGAAATAATTATAAATTAGACTTCATAAAAATTTAAACCTTTGCTCTGTGAAACTTCCTGCTAAAACGATGAATAGACAAATCACAGACCGGAGAAAATATTTGCAAACCACACATCCTGCAAAAAACTTTTATCTAGAATATAAAGGTCTACACACTAACTACTCATAGTGCAGAATCCACAAGTTAAAGGGCTTAGTCTCACAAGACTGTCCTCACTTCAGACACCAGTCCTCACCAGTCCTGGGTCTCCAGGGTACCCATAACTAATGTCCAGCTTGGCTACAAATTCAGGGGTTTCTATGACCTCCTTTCAGGTTTAATACTCTGCTAAAAACAACTCAGAAAAACTCAGAAAAACATTTACTCATGTTTACCCGTCATATACTTTGGCTGTGTCCCCACCCAAATCTCATCTTGAGTTGTAGTTCCCATAATCCCATGTGTCGTGGGAGGAACCCAGTGGGAGGTAATTGAATCATGGGGGCAATTACCCCCATGCTGTTCTCGTGATAATGAGTGGGGTCTCCAGAGATCCCATGGTGTTTGTTTTTTTTTTTTTTTTCAGACCGAGTTTCACTCTTGTTGCCTAGGCTGGAGTGCAGTGGCATGAGCTCAACTCACTGAAACCTCCGCCTCCCAGGTTCAAACAGTTCTCCTGCCTCAGCCTTCCTGAGTAGCTGGGATTACAGGCATGTGCCACCACGCCTGGCTAATTTTGTATTTTTAGTAGAGACAGGGTTTCTCCATGTTGGTCAGGCTGGTCTCAAACTCCCGACCTCAGATGATCTGCCCACCTCAGCCTCCCAAAGTGCTGGGATTACAGGTGTGAGCCACCATGCCTGGCTGATCCGATGGTTTTATAAAAGGCATTTCCCACCCTTCGCTCTGCACTTCTTGCTGCTGCCACGTGAGGAAGTACATGTTTGTTTCCCCTTCTGCCATGATTGTAAGTTTCCTGAGGCCTCCCCAGCCATGCTGAACTGTGAGTCAATTAAACCTATTTCCTTTATAAATTACCCAGTCTCAGGTATGTCTTTATTAGCAGCATGCGAACAAACTAATACAACTGGTTTATTATAAAGGGTACAACTGAGGAACAGCCAAATAACATAGATGCATTAGGCAAGGTATGGGGGAAAGAGGGGTGTGCAGAGCTTCCATGCTCTTTCTGAGTGTACTACCCTCCCAGCACCTTGATTTGTTCACCAACCTGGAAGCTTCCTGAAACCTATGCTTTAGGAGTTTTTAATAGAGGTTTTATTGCACAGATATGATTGTTTATACCATTGGTCATTCGTGATTGAACCCAATCTCCAGCCCCTCTCCCCTTTCCAGAGGTCAGAGAGACAGACTAAAAGTTTCAACTCTCTAATCATTGTTTCCTCTTTCTGGTTACCAGTCCCTGTCCTGAAGCTGTCCAGGAACCCTGGCCACCAGTCATCTTATTAGCAAACAAAAGATACTCGCCACTTAGGACAGTCCAAGTGTTTTAGGAGCTGTATGCCTGGAACCAAGGACAAAGATGAAATATATTTTTTATTAAACCACAATAAAGAATTCTCAAAAGTCAAAATTTAAAAATCAAACAATCCAATTAGGGAATGGACAATAGACATGCCCTGACATTTTAACCAAAGAGGATATATAGATGGGAAATAAACACATGAAGAGATGCTCAACATCTTTAGCCATCAGAGAAAAGCAAGTTAAAATTGCAATAGCATATTACTATGACACATCTATCAGAATGACTAAAACTAAAATTAGTGACAACATCAAATGCTGGCAAGGATGTGGAGAAACTGATCGCTCATACAGCTGGTAGGAATGTAATATAGCATAACGACTCTGGAAAATACATTGGCATTTTTTTTTAACTTAGACTTACCTATGATCCACAAATTGCGCTCTTGGCTATATATCCTAGGGAAATGAAAACTTATTTATTTTCATACAGAAATTTGTATATGTTTAGAGCAGCTTTATTTGTAATAGTCCAAAACTGGAACTATCCAAATGTACTTAAATGGGCAAATGCTTGAACAAACTGTAGCACTGTATGCACTCTATGCAATACTATTCAGCAACAAAAAGGAAGGAACTACTGATACACACAACTTGAGTGAACCTTGAGGAAATTATTCTGAGTGGAGAAAGCCAATTACAAAAGGACACATAGTGCATGAATTCATTCATATAACATTTGTGAAATAATGTAATTATAGAGATGGAGAACAGATTAGTGGTTGTCAGAGACTAGAGATGGAGGAGATGTAACAGTGTGGCTATAAAGTTGTAACATGAGGTAGTTTTGTGGTGATGATACCTTTATTTTGATGGTGGTGACAGTTACACAAAGCTACACGTGCGATAAAATTGCATACAGCTATGCACACATGCAATAACTGAAACCTGAGAAAGCTCTATGGATTATACTGATGTCAATTTTCTGGTTCCAATATTGTACCTGGTTTTGTAAGATGTTAACACTGAGGAAGGGTTGGTGTAGGGTACACAGGACCTCCCTGTATATTTCTTGGTACCTTTCTGTAAATCTATAGTTATTTCAAAGTAAAAAGTTTAATTACAAAAAAAGATACATAACTAATCTCCCATCATACCGCCTTTTCTAATTTTCATTAAAATGCCCATGAAGACAGAGAATAAAGAAGAAGATTTACACCAATGAATCATCTGAGTATATCCTAATCTCTCCTAACCAGAAGACAAAAAAGTGTAAGCAGATTTTTACTCCAGATTTCCCCAGATTTTGCTTAAGGTAAAAGAAATCAAGAAACAGGAGGAGGAGGGGGAAAAGGGGAAAGACGAGGATAAAGAGAAAAAGCAGCAGGAAGAGGAGGTGAGGGGAGAAGGAACAAAAGAAAGAGAGTCAAGGGTGATGTCATGCCTATAGTCCCAGCTACTCAGGAGACTGAGGCAAGAAGATCCTGTGAGCCCAGGAGGTCAAGGCTTCAGTGAGCTATGACTGCACCACTGCATTCCAACCTCAGAAACAGAGCGAGACCATGTCTCAAAAAAAAAAAAAAAAAAAAAAAAGAGGAGAGACGACAAAACCACTTCATACCTGCCCACTGTCTGATGGCTAACTCAAAGATGAAGAACTTGTGCCAACAAGAAAGGTTTGCAGTAATTCCTCCACCTTCCATTAATGATCTGAAGGACAGTAATGTTCTGTACTGTACCGTTTCCCTGATATCTTTATTTATCAGAGCAGAGATGCCAAATCCCAGAACACAATTGAGCAGGAAATAGAGACGGAAATAAGCCTACATCAAATTCTAAAAACTAATTTTCCTGCAGATAAAGCAATATATGTGGATTAGAGATAAAAATAATCCTGGTAGCAGTATGTGCAAGGATTATACACATACATTTTTGTGTTTTTTTTTTAATTTTTTTTTTTGAGATGGAGTTGCTCTGTCACCCGGGCTGGAGTGCAATAGTGCGATGTCGGCTCACTGCAACCTCCACCTCCCAGGTTCAAGCGATTCTCCCACCTCAGACTCCCAAGTAGCTGGGACCACAGGTGCGCGCCCCCACGTCCGGCTAAGTGTTGTATTCTTTTAGTAGAGACGGGGTTTCGCCATGTTGGTCAGGCTGGTTTCAAAATCCTGACCTCAGGTGATCCACCCACCTTGGCCTCCCAAAGTTCTGGGATTACAGGCATGAGCCACCGCACCTGGCCTACACACACATTTTATGTTGACAAATTCTTTATTTACTGAGACATTAGAAAATTACATGTCAAAGAGTGCTTAAAGATATCCATTAATGGAATTTAACAGAGGCTATATAGCTTGCAAAATATGAAGGACAAAATAAAGAAAACGATACATAAAGTGAAAACTAAATCATTGAATAACAAGAACCTATTTTTCAAGAGAAACACTGAAATAACAGAATGATGAAAGAAATCAATTGTAACAACAAATATAAATAGACGAAGCCTCTCTGTTAAGACAAAGATTCACATGATGGAAAATAATAATAATAGATCCTACATCACTTATTGTTTCACTTTGCTTTAGGTGTTTTCCTTACAAATAAAGTAAAACATTTTTAAAGATTTGCAACATTACTGTTAAATAAGAAGTAAAATTTAGAAACAAATAACATGAAATGAAACAAAGAACTTATTCTACATTGTTAAAGATCCAATAAAGATATAACTATCATAAACCACTATGCAGCAAATAACAGACCAACAAAATATTATAAACCAAAAACTATTAGAACCACAATGAATAATCAATAAAAACATACAAATAGTGAAAATTTCAACTTATTACTTGGAATCACTTAGATTCGCTAAGAAAATTGGTGACATACTCAGCAGAATAGTTTCACAAGGAGTCATACAAGACAGACCAGCCTTTACTCTAGGCTAGTTTGGTCCTACTACGGAGGCATTGTCCTTCTGAGTATTCTCTTCAACACCTCATACAGTATAAGATTTCTTCAATTCAGATGACAAAAACTTGAGAAATTTCCCGGTCTATGTGAACATCAGGAATTTTTCCACCTGCTTCTTTCTGGTAGTTCTTTCCCTTGCCTCAGGTGGGTTCACCAAACGCATGATCTGAAAACTCAAGGGAAACTCTGTGGAGGTAGCTGGAGCTCTTTCTCTGCACAATACTCTTTTTTTTAGTTCTTTGTGAATTCTGTCCACTTTGACTTTCCCCAAATTCTCAATGAACTCTGTCTTCTCAATTGAGTGAGACTGATAGCTTGAAATCTCTTTCTAGGGAATCAGTAGAGAAACCATAGGGTTTACTTCCTTTTTTTATCTTCTTTGAAAAATTACTGTTTATACTGCCTGTTGTCCCATGTTTCAGAACCATCCTTTATAAATTTTGTCTGTATTTTGTTTAAGTAAGAGGGTAAATCTGTCCGTGTTGCTCCATCAGAGCCAGGAACAGAAATCCTTTAAAAATAATTTTAACTTTAAAAAAGAATGAAAAATATAAAATAAAATACATGACCATGGAAAAATGAAAAGTGAGCTGGCAGAATTCACAGGAGGAATTAAAGATTTTCAATAAATAATTAGGAAAAGAAAAGCCACCTTTAAAACCACAAAATCATGAATGGTACAATAATATGAAGGTCAAGATTTATAAAAATCCTATTAAAAATAAAAATAGAAAATGACAGAAAGAGAAATTAGAAAGGAGATAATACAGAAACATGACACAGTAGCTCAACATATGCGTAATAGGTATTGCTAAATTTACAGAATTAATGAAACAGCAGATTATTTGAAATTATAAAAGAAGAAAACCTTGTTAAAATAAGTAAAAATTTGAATTTGCTGATTAAACATGCACAATATCTCCTAGGTAAATAATTATGCTGAATAATCAACAGAAAGATGTATCTGAGAGCAGGATAACAATAACAATAGTAATAATAATAATTTCACTAAACAGACATAACTTTTGGGCCAAATAATAATCATAATAAAATACTCATCTACTCAGCCTGAGAGAAAAACAATGGGTTTAATCTGACCTCCTACTTTTCCCATAACAACATTTAATGGCAGAGGAAAGTGGAGGAATATTTAGAAAATCCTAAAGAGGAGGAGAAAAGATTAAACTGAAAAATATAATGCCCAATCCATTCGTTTTATGTCTATGGTAACAGAAAGGCCTTCTTAATTTTAAACAGTTTTGGGGAATAATGAAGCATTAATGGGTTGTTCTTTGAAAACAAACCAAAAAAAAAACACCTAATAAAAAATCTACTCCAGAAGGTTTAAATAAAGAGAAAAAAATTCAAGGAAGAAAAATTCATGTTAGTAAAGTACTGGTAGTAACTAACTATTGGGTACTATGCTCAGTACCTGGATGACATGATCTTTCATACCCCAAATCTCAGCATCACACAATATACCCAGGTAACAAACCTGCACATATACCTCTGAGTCTAAAATAAAAGTTGAAAAAAAGAGAGAAAACTAGCTTTATTTTTAATGGTTTGCTTTAATGTAACAGCGGTGTGTTAACTCAGTACAAACATTGAAGGTGATCAGAAAACTCATGAATTTTTATTATAGGAACTGTGGAATATTCTATATATATCTGAAACTTATAGTTACTTGTTTTAGGATATCCATAATAAAACTCTTTCATGTGGTTTTCTGGGTCATTGTTTTCAGGAATAAGCTTGGTGTATAATATTGAATGCTCTTAGAAGTTGGATCTGCATATTTTCTCTTTTATCTCTACAAATTAAACAATACTAGGAACTATCTTCTATAAAATATAAATTTAACAATATGTTAATGACTATCTATAAAGATAATATACTTTTAAAAAAGTACTGGTAGTGAACAATGAAAAATTAAAATATATAAAATAAGTTATATTTACTGTTGTACCACAAAATGAAAGTTTATAGACTTTGGCAAATGTAAAAGATATTTATTTTAAAAGGTGTTTGTTGGTAAAAAGTTTACATTTGCTAATATCCTTATCTTTAAGAAGAAAGGTCAAAGGCTACTGTATTAGTCCATTTTCACACTGCTATAAAGCTACTATCCAAGACTGGGTAATTTATAAAGGAAAAAGGTTTAATTGACTCACAGTTCTACATGGCTGGGGAGGCCTCAGGAAACTTACAATCATGGCGGAAGGAGAAGGGGAAGCAAGGACCTTCTTCACCTGGTGGCAGGAGAGAGAAGTGAGGATGCAGGAAAAACTGCCATTCATAAAACCATCAGATCTCATGAGAATTCACTCACTATCACGAGAACAGCATGGGGGAAACTGCCTTCATAATTCAATCACCTCCCTCCCTTGACATGTGGGGATTACAACTGGAGATAAGATTTGAGTGGAGACACAGAGCTAAACTATATCAGCTACTGAAAAAAGTTGATAAATTAAAAAAAAATTAAAAATAAAAATAAAAAAAAAAGTAGACAAGGCTTAATTTTGTTGATGAAACCTATGACAGACTTCTAGACCCACCTTACTTTCAAATTCTTGGGCACTTAAAATAATTACTTAAGTAATATAAAGTGTACAGAAGCCAACAGAGAATATGTTTCTTTGCCTTAGTCCTCCAGTCCTACCCTATGTATAACGTGCCCCCAGCATATACCCTTTGTATACATAGGACTGTTGTCTTACCACAGAAACTAAGAACTAGAATTGTTGGATCAAATGGAATGCACTTTTTAAATAGTAATATATGCTGCCCAACTATCTTCCGAAAAGCCTTCACTACATTATTATAATCTCACCAAAAGCACATAGATGAGAATACCTATTGCCTATATTTATTAACACTGAATGTTATTGATCTATTGAATAAAAAGTTATCTTAATATAAAATTTCAAAAAAAAAAAAAAAATTGAAGATAAGCCACAGACTGAAAGAAAATATTTGCAAAAGACCTATCTGATAAAGGATTGTGATTCAAAATATACAAAGAACCCTTAAAGTTCAACAAGAAAATAAGCCACCCGATTGAAAAATAGGCCCAAAAGACTTACCAGGCAGGGTAGATACCATGACCACAAGGGTAGTTTTCCCTAGGGCAAGGCTTCTCTATTCCACTGAAGACTTGCTGATCCCTGTGATTTCTCCAAATGTGGGAAACTCAACTGCGTAATTTGTGGTAGCAGCATACTGCATTCATGCTTTTCCCCAGTAAATAAAAGGAAAAAATGAGCCAACAACCTGAACAGACACCTTACCAAAGAAGATATACAGATGGCAACTGAGCATATGAAAAGATGCTCCACATATATGTCAATAAGGAATTGCAAATTAAAACAACGAGATCCAATTGCCCGCCCATTTGAATGGCCAAAATCCAAAACACTGATAATGCTACTGCTGTTGAGGATGTGGAAAAAGAACTCTTATTTATTGCTGATGGGAATGCTGTAAATAATATTACAAAGACATGTGTACCTGTATATTCATTGCAGCACTATTCATAATAGCAAAGACATAGAGTCAATCTAGGTGCCCATCAATGATGGATTGGATTTTTTAAAACATGGTACTATACACTATGAAATACTATGAAGCTATGAAAAAGAATAAAATCATGTCCTGTGCAGCAACATGGATGCAGCTGGAGGCCATTAACCTAAACAAATTAACATAGTAACTGAAAGCCAAATACCACATGTTCTCACTTATAAGTGGGAGCTAACCTTTGGGTGCCCATGGATAAAGATGGCAACAATAGACAGTGGGGAATACAAGAGGAGGGAGGGAGGGAAAGGGGCAAGGGTAAAGTTGAAATAATTTTTTTAATTTTTTAAAAGGATATTTTTTGGCTCATGGAGTCCAGGGGTGGATCTAGCTTCAATTAGTTCTAACTCAGGGGTTCAAATGATGTCCTGAGAACCTAGTCTTTCTCTGTCTCTTTGATCTACTCTCTTAAAATACAGATTCCTAGGACCTAGCTGAGACATAATGAATCAGAATCCCTAGAAGTTAGACTCCAGAATCTTTATTTAAAATAAAACAAAACAAAAAAAACTTCCCAGAAGAATGTCATAAAGCTCTTATTGGTTAAATGTTTTATCCATGTATAGCAAGCTAGTTACAAGCTTCTTGCAGGCATAAACAACTTCTTTAGCATCCTAATCATATCTAAGATTGTACGAAGGGGACATAAAACAGGTACTCTGCAAAGTCTGGTAGATCTGGGAATGCTGGAAGCCTCATTCATGTTGGCATCAAAAGGTATTTGAAAAAAAATTGTGATAAGCTTTGGAAAAATCTGGGCTAGTGAAAATTGGATTTAAAGTTTTTTTAAAATACAACTATACCCAAACAGTACTAGTGAATAAACTAGAGTTGATGAAGAGAAGAGCTGCACACAGTATTTCAAAGAACTCTGTTCTTGGCCCCAATTTGTTCAAAATTCTTTTGAACTTGGATAAAAATATAGATAATAAATATCATAATCTGCATCTGACAAAACCAGGAGATGGCACACAATAAAAATGTATTTCATAATGTTCTTGAATAGCATGGCCACCCAAACATTAGTTCAATTTTAGTATTCTTCCAGTATCCACATTATAAATATTTTTTGTATCTCCATTGTTGGCGCCATTTTTCCCCTGAGCATCAACATTTTGGCTGCCAGCTTGTCTGGACTTACATCTTTAAAACTCTAAATCTGGTGGGAAGAAAAGCTTTTCTTTTCCAACAACTGGAAAAAAATTTCTGGCCTAATTTTTTTTTTTAACACAACAGGATAACATACTTGTGAAATACCATTCACAGGGGCCAAGGAGACGTGATGCTGATTGGGCAAGCCTGAGCTCCACAATCACCACTTGGGAGCTAGCAGTGGTGTCTGCCACACCTGAGACACATATAGGCTAAGAATGGCAGCAGGGGTGGGTAGGTGGGGGTGTCCCCAAGAAAACTTGCACTAGAAAACAGACTGGCTGCTGAGCTGCTAATAAGCCAGGGTCCCTGCTCTCCAGGAGCTTATGTGCCACTCACGAAGACGTCTATGTGAACAGATATTTTCAGTATAAGGTGGCAAATGTTGGAATAAAGGTTTACAGGGTAGAGAGGCATGTCAATTCATGCTGGGGGCCAAGATTGTGTCTATGGAAGGTTCCAGGGAGAGATGAAGTCTGAGTCTAGAAAAATTCCTAAGTTTTTATGGGTAGAGAAGTTGAGAATGATCTATGGATGTTTCCAGGCAGTTTAACTATAAGATTTGATCTCATTGAAGGTAGGAATCATGTCTTATCTTTGTCACTCTGGAATGCAACACAGTGACTGGCATGTAGCGGACACTCAATACATGTTTTATAAACTTATTAATATTCCTTCATTAGTCCTCAACAAAAATTCTGTGGGGGATTTATAAGATGGGTATTTAACCTCATTATCCAGAGAAGGAAATTGAGATAGAGAGATTAGGTCATCAAGATCACGGTGCCAGCCAATTATGGTGCCAAGATAACCCCACAGAGACAGGGATGTATGCAGGCCAATCCAAACCAAATCTATCATGAAGAAGGCCACAAATCCTAGCTTTATGTTATTAAAGCAGCAAAATGACAAACAAAGTAAAGTCAAAGTCTTACTGTGGTTAGCAGTTCTTCTCATAAAGCCCAAAACACCAGATTTTCTTCTAATGATTTCAGATGTCAAGTGGTAAAAATTGATTTTACAATGTTCTTGAGTAAATAAGTACTGGGGAAAAAAATGAGGAGGAAACATGTTTGTTTGGGTAAATTGCTAAGCAACACCACACATGCCAGAAACTCCTTTTGGATTTCCTCTCGAGGTGGAGACCGCGAAACCAACGGGTACTTCACTTTGTGTCTGTTTCATCAGTTCACACTGGAAAATAAAAGCCAAACAGGCAATTCTAATAATACAAGAGTCAGAGGTGTGGAGGCCACTAATATTAAATTAGACTGAACTGTTTAAGGTTGCCTTTTAAAATGGCTCCTTCCAGCGTCCACGGTGGCACTAAGACTGAGGTGAGATTTGTGCAGCGTGTCCAGGAAGATCTAGCACACTGATGAAAAAAAAAACAAACAGCAGCCAGGCCATGTTATCTATCCCACTCGGTATTTCCAGATGCTACAGATGATGGAAATTTGTAATGTGACAACAGGATTGTGGAAATGAGATGAAAAAAACTTTGTGCACGTCACTTATTTAATAATGGAAAATTTCTTATTAGAAGTAAGGTCTTCAGATGGGTATTAAAGGAAGGAATTCCGTGGGTAGGGAGAGAAATTTACAGCCTCAGGGCCTGCTTGAGCAAAAGCTGGGCACTCTAAAGGGGAGAAACAAATTAACATAAAAGCACAAAAGGGAACCTTAGTAAGCCAGAAGGAATGAATAAGTATTTGAACAGGAAATATATTAGATGGCTGGTGTTGGGTTTATGAAAATTAAGATTGAAATTAATATTGAAACTCCAAAATGTAAGATTTAGGGTGCAATGGACCAAATGCTATTTAAGTGGTATTACACAAAAATTGCTGCGAATTTTTAATGATTACATTTCTTGCAATAATTTGTAAAGAAAATTTTGGGTAAGCACACATATAACTCTGAATTATGTATGTGCAGACACATTTCCAATCAATTTGAATTCTTTTAAGGGTGAGGATATAGTTTCAGGAAGATTTCAGATTTTGTTTTAAATAGGAACTGACACTCTAGAAAGAAAAAAAAAAGGCCTATTTATGTTATCATTAACTATAGAGAGTCTGTACTCCTTAACACACATCTGAGGCTTCCTATGATCTGGCCCTACCTACCTTCCCTACCCATGCCAGCCTGGGCAATCTCTCTTCTAAATCCCCTCAAACCCTGTAAAATATAAGCTCACCTCTATGAGAGCTAGGCTTTTCCCCTATTTAATGAATTGCCGTCTCTCCTAGTATTGTGCCTGGCATATAGTAGGTGTTTAGTAAGTATTTGTTATAGAAGCCTCTAGGATTGGCATGGAGCCCTCCAGAAACTCACAGCCTAGCTGGAACAAAGACATCCACAAAAGCAATTATAATAGATGAAAATAGTTATCATAATTAAGATATAAGAGCTAAGACCACTTCTAACACTAACAAAGACATCCACAAAAGCAATTATCATAGATGAAAACAGTTATCATAATTAAGATATAAGAGCAAAGACTACTTCTAACACTATTAGCACGTACATGTCAGACGGTGTTCCACATGCTATGGTCTGGGTGTTTGTGTTCCCCCCCCATAATTCATACATTGAAATCCTAACCTTCAAAGTGATGGTATAAGGAGCTGGGGCCTCTGAGAGGTGATTACATCATGGGGCTGGAGCCCTCACAAATGGGATTAGTGCCCTTAGAGAAGCAGCTCAAGGGAGCTCTTTTGCCCCTTCTACCATAAGACACAGCTAGGAGGTGCAGTCTATGAACCAGAAAGTAGACCCTCACCAGACCACAAATCTGCTGGCAGCATGATCTTGGACCGTCCAGCTTCCAGAACTGTAAGAAATAAAGGTTCATCGTTTATAAGCCACCCACTACATGATATTTTTTATAGCAGCCCGAATGGACTAAAACACATGTATTAATTCACCTAATCCTCACAACAACCCTATGAGGTAGGCATTATCATTATCCTCATCTTTGGTGGTACAAGGAGATAAAGTGACTTTCCCAAGGTCACACAGCTAGGAAGTAGTGAGTAAATCAGAATCCAGGCAGTCTGGCTCCAGGGTCCTTACAACGAATTAGTGACTGCAGGCACAAGCATAGAGTAACCTGACTCAAAGACCACTGAATTTTCTTCTAAGTCTGGGATTCCAGATGATTGTCTCACTAGTGCTAACAGTGAAGTATAGAAATGTGGGGGAAATATTTATGAAACCTCTTCCATTTGGAACACATTGGTGCTTCTCAAACTTTGGATGCCTGAGAATCCCCTGTGAAGATTCAGAATTTCAGGACTGGAATCCGGAAGATTTTGAGTCAATAAGGTTGGAATGTGGACCCAGTATCTATATTTTTAGCAAGAGCTGCAAGTGATGCTGGAGATCTTCTGATCACAATTTGAAAACATTGTACTAGGCCTATTCTCCAGAGGACCCTTTGGCTCAGATTCTGCATTCTCTTTCCAGGCCTGGCTCTCCTCTGTTGGAATGTGTCTGTAAGAATCCTTCGACTCTGCAGTGCTGCTGGTGCTATTCAGGACATCTTCAGCTTCAGAAGTTCCTTGGATGACAGGCACCATAACCCTTAACCCACTTGGTAATCTCTCATTTTTGGTCTGTCTCCTCTTGAGGGCCAAGGCTGTATCATACTCCTCTCTACATGCCCAGACCTTAATTCAGGGCACAGGAAATGTCTTCAGAATGAACTGATGAATAGCATGAGCTAGGGCTGTGCTCCAGACCCACCAGTCTTGCCTTTGAGAAGCTCACAGTTAAGAGAAGAACATGAATATCTAAATTAATAAACTGCAGGATCAGGTAATAGGTAGCCATAATTACCTAAATATTAGCAGCATGTTATATGTGCCTAGAGAACAAATGAATAATTCATTAAGGTGGATGGATGGCATGGGATGCCATGCTAGAGGAGTACATTAAGAGCTGTTAAAGCTAAATTGTGTCCCCCCAAAAATTTCTGTGTTGAAGTCCTAACCCCCATTACCTCAGAACATGACCATACTTGGAGACAGGGTCTTTACAGAAGTAATGAAGTGAAAACAAGGTCATGAGGGTAGGCCCTAATCCAATATGATGTATAAGAATAGACAATTAGGACACAGACGCATACAGAGGGAAGAGGGAAGACGGCGTGAGGACACAAAAGCGGGGCCATCTGCAAGCCAAGGAGAGAGGCCTCAGAAGAAACCAACTCTGCCAACACCTCGTGAGAAAATACAATTTTTCTTTTCTTTTTCCTTCCTTCCTTCTTTTTTTCTTTCTTCTCTCTCTCTCTTTCTTTCTTTATGAGACAGAGTCTCACTCTGTCACTTGGAGTGCAGTGGCCCGATCTTGGCTCACTACATCCTCTGCCTCCCGGGCTCAAGCGATCCTCCCACCTCAGCGTCCCTAATAGCTGGGACCAAAGGCACACACCGCAAAGCCTGGCTAATTTTTGTATTTTTTGTAGAGACAAGGTGAGCAAATAAATTTCTGTTAAGCCACCCAGTCTCTGGTACTTTGTTATGGCAGCCCTAACAAACAAATACAGGAGCAGATTATGAGAATTTACTAAACCAAACCACAGAAATTAAATTTTATCCTTTCAGCTGCCAGAAGCCCACAGAGGTGTCTAAGCATCAACGTGACAAATAAGCAGCTTTGGTTCTGCAATATAACCTGGAAATAGTGAGGACACCGACGTGGAGAATAGAGATGGGAGTTGACAGGGATCAATTGTTCTAATGCGGAATAATGCAAGACATAAGATCAAGCCAGCAGGAGTGAGAAACAGAGATCATATCAGGGTGATATCTGTGGGGCAAAAGTAACAAGAAGATAAGGTGTAGGCGGTGGAGGGTAAACCGCGAGGCTTCCATGAAGAAGAGTGGCCTGGGAAGTGAGGAGGACAGCGAAGCCCCAAACCTCACCTTGGGATACGGGAAGTGAAGCAGGTTCCAGAGAAGGGGACAAGATAATGACTTAGGGTAGGATAAATTTCAGACAATTGCAGAGCATCACATTAGATGTGTTCAGAAGAGTGGAAATAAAGTTCTGTGCCTAGGCCCTCATGCAGGATTCTGTTGCTAGAAGTCAGTGCTGGCCGCAGGGAGACCGGAGATCACAGTGGAGGCACCAGCGATCCGAGAGTCCTATGACGAATCCCTGGGATCCCCACAATGTGTGGAGACAGAAGCCAACCAAAGAGCGAGAAAGCATCTCCAAACCAGCAGAATCAGGGGCAGGAGGCCCGCCAAATGCACAGCAAGTCAGCCTTGGTAGTTTGCAAATGGAAAGATTTCTTTGACCCGCTGGAGACTTCAGCTCAGGCTGGATGTCGCTAATTCACACCATCTCACCAAAAGGTTCTTTCCCTGCCCTTTGGTGAATCGAGGCAGAAGTGGCTGGTGGATAACTGGGACCCAAGAGTTATCTCAGCGTCGGGCAGGCATCGACAGCTCCAGGAGCCCTTTCCCTGCAGGCGGGCTGGCGGGTGAGCGATTCCCTCCCTTCCCAGGCCTTCCCGGGAATGGAACGTGGGCGCCCGCGCCCGGGCTCCGGTTCCACTTGGAACGCGGACTCGGGAGCCGCCGGGCGAGCGCGCAGACCGCGGGGGCGGCTCCCTCGCACCTCCCCGCTCAGCGCGCCGCGGCGGATGGGCGAGGCGGGGCGAGGCCAGAGGGAGGCGGGCCAAAGGGGCGGGCGAGAGGACGCGGGACCGCGGGGAGGTCGGGGGCGGGGAGCAGGCGGCGGCGGGCGCCGGGAAGAAAGGAACATGGCTCCTGAGGCGCACAGCGCCGAGCGCGGCGCCGCGCACCCGCGCGCCGGACGCCAGTGACCGCGATGGTGAACTCCAGTCGCGTGCAGCCTCAGCAGCCCGGGGACGCCAAGCGGCCGCCCGCGCCCCGCGCGCCGGACCCGGGCCGGCTGATGGCTGGCTGCGCGGCCGTGGGCGCCAGCCTCGCCGCCCCGGGCGGCCTCTGCGAGCAGCGGGGCCTGGAGATCGAGATGCAGCGCATCCGGCAGGCGGCCGCGCGGGACCCCCCGGCCGGAGCCGCGGCCTCCCCTTCTCCTCCGCTCTCGTCGTGCTCCCGGCAGGCGTGGAGCCGCGATAACCCCGGCTTCGAGGCCGAGGAGGAGGAGGAGGAGGTGGAAGGGGAAGAAGGCGGAATGGTGGTGGAGATGGACGTAGAGTGGCGCCCGGGCAGCCGGAGGTCGGCCGCCTCCTCGGCCGTGAGCTCCGTGGGCGCGCGGAGCCGGGGGCTTGGGGGCTACCACGGCGCGGGCCACCCGAGCGGGAGGCGGCGCCGGCGAGAGGACCAGGGCCCGCCGTGCCCCAGCCCAGTCGGCGGCGGGGACCCGCTGCATCGCCACCTCCCCCTGGAAGGGCAGCCGCCCCGAGTGGCCTGGGCGGAGAGGCTGGTTCGCGGGCTGCGAGGTAAGAGCGCGCGACCCGCAGCGGCAGATGCACGAACCAGAACGGCCGGCGCCGGCCGGGGCCATCGCCCGCTGCGGCAGCTCCCCGGGCTCCATCTCGCATCCCCTCTGCGTTCCGCCTCCCTTGGAAGCGCATTCCCCACCTCCGCTAGTGCTGCCCTATTTCCGGTACCCAGCGCGGAATTCCACTGCTCTTTTGTTGGTGCATATTTATTGGATACCTCCTTCTTCAGGATATGTCACCATAGTCTTTTTTACTGAAAATTAGTGAAAGCCTAATTAGAGTGAAAGAGTACATCTGGGTTTTGTTTTTTTTTTTCTTGTAGAGGAAAAAATGAACATTACTTGTGTAACTGATGGTAGTTGCAACTGCATATTTGCCAATGTCACAAAATCTAAAGGAAAATGTTATAGTCACCCGTGGTTTCCTTCTTGCCTGGACACTCCATTGTCCCGGGCTGAAAAGGGTAGCAGTACAGTGCATATAATGTCAAGTTGTGGGAGGAGTGTGGCAGATTGTCATTGGTGCATTTTTTTGGTGATGTGTGTGGTTGTTTTGAGGAGTGGGAGCTGTTAAGAACACCACAAATAGAATAAAATAATATCGTGAAGTTATTTGGCCGTTTCTAATTCTAGACATTTTTCTAAAAACAGTTGCAAAGGAAAGATTACATTGTTTTAAAAAAATTTGAAGTATGTTTTTAAATAACTAAATTAATGTTCTTTGAAATTCCACCAAAATGATGAAGTCACCAGATAGCAGCTGATAAATGTGTCTGAGCCCAGTGCGCCCAGCTCTACAAAAGGCAGAAGAGGAATTTTCAAATTTGCCAGTGCCCAGTAAGAGGACATGAATTTTCTAGTACCAGAGGAAATTCTCTTTTTACAAATTTTGTCAGAGGTATCCTTGGGAAAGTATTTCATTTGCTTTTACCCTCCAAATTATTTTAATCTATATTTTTAAGAGTTTCCATTCTCAGTTGAGTTTTTCTTGTTCTTCTCCTTCTGTCAGTTTTGAAAGTCTTGCACAAAAACAATCCAGGTGTTGTTACAGCAGTGTGATTAAAACCAGGTCAGGCCTACACTGAAATCCCAGTTCCACCACTCATTAGCTGTACGACCTTGAGCAAGTTACTTATCCTCTCTGATACCCAATTTTTGGATTTTTTTTTTTTTTAAAGAGATGATCATAACGCTTAGGACTTGACTCTTTGGGAGAATTAAGTGAGTTAAGACATAAAATGTGCAGCATGTATTTGTCATGTTATTAGCGCTTCAGAAATATAAATGTAAACATTTTGGTACTTCGTTTATGGAGATTCTTATACTAGTTAATTTTATTAAAAGCATGATGGGGAACAGAAGATCCTTTTCGGATAACCTGTGTGAGTAAATTAATAAAACACTAACACTTTTTAAGATTCAAAACTGGATTAATTATGTTATTTTACACCATTTAAAATGTGCATTTAAAAAATATTCACTGAAGTGAGAGAGAAGTTCCTTTTAAGTTAATAAATAATGGTAAGTTGCATGATCCTTTTAACTCAGTTTAAGCATTTGATAACACCCCTAACCTTGTTTGAATAAACTCAATAACAGAATATAGAGAAATAAAATATATATTTCATATGAGTATGTATGTAAATTTATTTCTTTTAAAGGAAAATTTCAGGAAACAAAATGAATAAGCTCATAGTCATAAAACCTCTAGCCAAAGTGTGTCAATGGTCTGATTTGTAGGAGAGCAGACTCAGGAATCGGGAATTTTTTTTTTTTTTTTAAGAGTCGGGGTTTCACTCTGTCACTGAGGCTGGAGTGCGGGGAAGCAAACGTAGCTCACTGCGGCCTCAAACTCCTGGGCTCAAGCTGCCCTCCCACCTCAGCTTCCCAAGTAGTTGGGATTACAGGTGCAAGCTGCTGCTCCTAGCTGAAAAGTTTTAATTATATAAAATGTTTAAATAAATTGTTATTCCTTTCTTTTATGAAGAAATATAATTGATATTCTTGTCACTTATTAAATAAGCAACATTTTAAAATGTTTAGCACCTACTGTGAAGATAGCACTGTGCTAGCTGCTATGAATAAACTAGAATAGCATATCACTGTTTTCCTATGGACAAAAACCCAGAAATGTAAAATAAATAGCCATGAATGGGTTGAGATTCCCCCTGCCCCCTTTGGATACTGATGACAGAAATCTTATATGCACTATGTAAGCAGTGCCCTAGGATCAGAACAGAAAGTAACTTGCAATTTTTAAAGGTGGGAGAAATGACTGAAGTTTGGAGTGGTCAGGAGTTTCCCTGGAAGTCTCTTGCCTTTGTGACTTTGTATAGCTCCCTCAAACTACCTGAGCCTGAGCTCCTCATTTATAAAATGGAAGAATTGAACCTAGCTTCCAAGGTCCTTTCTAGCTTCACCATGCTCTGGTCTGTTGTTTAATGACATGAATCCAAGATGGACAACAAATGGTCGATTTTGCTCCTTCTACAGTAAATAGATCTATCTTCTTAGCAGAAGTAAAATAGTAAAGAAAGAAGACATGTTTGAGGCCTGTTGAGGCCTGTTTGCTGTATGCATTGTATCTAATCAAGGAATTGAGAATGTAGCCCTAAATATTAGGAAGGAGTTGAAAGTTTCTGAGCAGGAACAGAACATGCTGAAAGGAAATTGTGTCAGCAGCATGGTGTACAGGAGAGCTTGGCAGAGAGAAAGGAGGCAAGAAGACCTGTGGGAGGCAGCCAGTAAGGAGGTGAAGAGGGCCTGGACCAAAGGAAGCCAAGGATGACCGAAAGATTTAAAGATGAAGCCCAGATTTAAAAGTATCCTCAAGTATTTGTTTATTCTTTTCTTAGCAAATTCTTTTTAGTACAAAGATAAAATATGGCACTCTGAGTCATAAAATTTTCTGAATTTCAGAAGTTGAATGTTTTTCTGAATGTATCAACCTGTTAAAGTCAGTTCCTGTTTGTTATTTTAGGCGTATATTCTTGGGCTTTTTTTTTTTTTTCCTAGAGAAACTATGAAGTACTAGCTGTGCAAGTCAGGGTGGGCTAAGCTGCTAAAACAGATACCTCCCTCCCCTTCAATACCCTGAAGAACAAGAAGTTAATTTTTTGCTCGTGTAACATTTTAGAGAGGGTATTCCAGGTTGAATACCTGGAATAATGAATGAAATAATAAGTCGACTCTTATTTCTCCTAAAATAATTGGATCTTGACATTGAAATTGGTGTGCTGATTGTATTTAATAAGTGACCTCCAATGCAGTTATTTCATTTTGCCATACTTTATGTAATTTTTATTTTTTCTGCCTTCCCTTTCGATGTCTAAAGGGAAGCATAATTAGTTATTGGAAAGGTTATTGAGACTTAAAAAAAGATTTGAACATGGCTTTGGTTGATGCTACCACACAGAAACTGCAAACATCCAACTCACCGCTCTTAGTTGCTGTTCATGATAGTCTATGCACAGTGACTGATGAATTTAGCCTGTCTTGAGGCTTCAGAACTTAGTCTTATGTCATCACGAGCAGAGCTTTATCCTAAATTACAGGTTTTCAATGGGGGGGGGGGGGAGGGGCAGTTTTGCCCCTCAGGGGACATTTGGCAATCTCTGGAGACATTTTTGATTGTCATACCTGGGGGGATGCCCCTGGCATCTCCTGGGTTGAGGTTAAGGATGCTGCTAATCTACAATGCACAGTACAGCCACCCCACACACACACACTACAAAGCATTCTCCCACCCAAATTGCCAGGAGTGAGGACTTTGAGAAACCCTGCCCTAGACTGTTAAATTCAAAAGGAAATAATGGTTTATTGCTCACAGTGTGCCAGGCACTGTGTTAAACTCCTTATATTCATAGTTTTGTTTTTATCCTCACAACAACCTGTGAAGAAAGAACTCTCATCCGTCACCACTTTACTGTTGAGGGCACTAAGCCTTCTAAAGGTTAAATG